>NC_000004.12:113466835-113618350 GCF_000001405.40 Homo sapiens | reverse complement strand
GTTATAAAAGCAGCTCATCTGCTCGGTTAATTTTTTGAAGAGCATATTTTTGGTTTGGCAAGATAAATGTTCTATGTTTTCTCTCTAGTTATTCATTAAAAACAATTCCAAAATAAAATGAAGTATGTTTTAAACTTTAACTCGAGAGTGTTGAAGAGAGAAAACTCTTACACTTAGAGAATCATATTCAGCTTTGTATTGGTAATTACTGTATTGTTTATTTCCTATACTATTTATTAGCCATATTCATCCAGGAATGTAGAAATGTAAAAACTTAGAAAGGATCTTATAGGATCTTCTTAAAGGATCATCTAATCCAGTGCTTATCAAGTATTACTTACTGTGAGCTAGAGTATAAAAAATGTTTTATATCATGGCCCAGTGTATATTTTATATATATATATGTGTGTGTGTCTGTGTGTTGTGTGAGTGTGTGTGTATGACCCAAGCAAAAGTTTCACAAAGCAATAGTTACCTTTAATGTGAAATATACTTCACCATGTTTGATTTTATTCTTGTTATTTTTTATCTCCTTTAAAAATTGTTTCTTCTAGCCAGGAATGGTGGTGTTTGTGTAATCCCAGCTATTCTGGAGGCTGAGGTAGGAGGATTGCTTGAACCAGGCATTCAAGAGGCCAGCCTCAGCAACATAGCAAGACCCCATTTCAAATTAAGAACAAAAAAAATTGTTCTGTTTTTCCTTACAGAAGTAACAACTCTTCATCAGCAAGGGATGTGCCTTCTCAGGAATACCTTTGCTTTTCCCATATATTGTCTGTCTTCCCTTACTTCTCCCATAATCATCAAAATTTCTGATAAGGTTCAGAGAGTACAGTAAGATAGACCACGACAGATGTCTCTCTTCTTTTTTGATTTTTTTTTTTTTTTAAGACAGGGTATCACTCTGTTGCTCAGTCTGGAGTACAGTGGCGATTTCTCAGCTCACCACAACCTCCGCTGCCCTGGTTCAAGCGATTCTCCTGCCTCAGCCTCATGAGTAGCTAGGACTACAGGCATGGGTGACCACACCCAGCTAATTTTTTGTAATAGAGACAGGGTCTCACCATGTTGCCCAGGCTGGTCTCAAACTCCTGACCTCAAGTGATCTGCCTGCCTCAGCCTCCCAAAATACTGGGATTACAGGCGTAAGTCACCGCACCCAGCCCTTTTTTAATATTCCTAATGGCTAAGGATATTGATGAGAGATCACTGACTAACTTGCAATACATAGTGGAAGATAGAATAACAAAAACATAAGGCAAGAAGAAAGGAAAGTTGGAATCACCAATCAAAATTCATAAAACAAATGATATTAATGCAAAATTTAAAGAGGGAAGGAAGATTTTTCTATATAAATGACTATTGTTTCAATACTCTTGAAATGAGTATCAACTTTTCCAAGAAATGAAATTACCTTTTTAGAAAACAAAATAAGCAGAATGGAATTATTCAATTAAAATATACAACAGGATAATCTCAAATTATTTTTCAAAGAAAACAAAGAATGTTTCCAGATATTACTAAATCTATTATTTACTTTACCCTTAAATTTATGTTTTTATTAAAAATGAGCAGGACAGAGTATTACATGAATTACCTATTTACTTTTATATTGTTTTAGTCTTCTCTGAGCTTCTATATTTAGCCATTGATGACGTTTTTCTTTCAAGCAAAAGAACTGATTGTTCTTTCATGCTGTTTGTAGTGTCATGTGATAGATGTGGCTGATACCCATACAGTCAACAGTTACTGATCATATCTCCCACTTTCTAATTTCTTCCCAGGTTGAAATTCTCCCAGGTAATAACTATTTTGACCCATCAGAAACCCAGTTGGATTATCTAGGCTTCTAATTAGTGCTGGCTTATAAAAGGCATAATGATTTCTTCTAGTCAGTACTGAATGCTATTATACTAATCTGATCCTGTAGATATTGAAGATAATCTAAACTTGGCTTTTAATCTTGAATCAGGAGTGGGGTGAGGATTTGGGAATAAGGATGGAGACCATAGTCACCAGAGTTGATATGCTTTGACCTTCAGGACTTATCTTGGGATCCAGTAACTTTCTTTGTGTACTTTTAGAATAGTTTTTAAAGTAATATGGATGGCATTCCCTATGAAGTTTTCATATAATAATTACATTTGATTATTTTAAAAAGTTAATTTTCATTCCTATTAAGTGTAAGCAGTCAATTGCTTTGAAATATAATTTAATTTTAGTTGATATTAAGTTTACAAGGTAGATTTTTTGTCATTACAGGAAGAATATCTGAAATTTTACTATAATTTTTCAATTTCTGATATAGAAATTAATTTTAACTTTTGAGTGATGAATAATTACTTATTTGGCATTTATAAATGGGGCATATTGCTAAATAGTTTTTCAAAAATACATATCCCTTATGTAACTTTATGTGTTCAAATAGCTAAAATTAGAACAGATTGTGGCTTCTAAGCCTGACCACTTCATTTGTTTGCCTTAGCCAGCTAATCAAACTCCCAATTTTTTATGCTCAAATGTTAAAGTTTCATGTTAAAACAAGTAAAAAAAGACAAAGTATAAATGCTATGTAGGACTCTTGACCTTAATAACAACATAAAAATTAATATGTATCTATACCTGTCTATATTTCTATTCAGTGTTTTAAAAATGAACATCTCTATTTCAAAAAAACAGCATATATTTTTTCTAATGTACTCAAGTTAATATATTTTATACTGGGAAAATGAAAATCAAATGGTGTCATTTTATTAACTGTATTACTTGTGTTATAGGAAATACTTTTTAAAAAACCACATAGAGAGATTTGGCTTCACTTTTCTAGAAGTGTTAGTTTGATTTTGAACTTAGTTTTCAGTGCTTTTGTGTTTTCTATTTGAAAAGTTTTCTCTCTAGAAGTGAGCAGCTTTGTCATAAATAAAGCCAGGAGAATAATGGTTGAGCTGAAATTTCTCTCCAGAGAGTGTAATTTGACTGTTAAAATGTTCTAATACTAGTGTGTGTGTTTTTACATTTTTAATGTAATATTGAAAAAAGTGTATGTAGATATAAAATTAATACATATATGTATATATTTATTATTTTTAATTTACAAATGAACTTAATGTTGGCTTCCCTCTTTTGGGGTAGACTTGGCGTGTTAGATGGCCTAACTTGGCTAGTGCTTGTTTTAGCTATGAATTATAATTAACTACTGATGGGAATATAAAAAGGATCTGACTTACAAGCTGCCATTTTTGCATCCCAGTATGTGAACCAAATCCAACTACCTCAATCTTTGAAACACAGCAAAGCTAAAAATGCAAATTCTGCCTCATTAATAACCAGGACTATTACTCAGAGCTGACAAACAATGATTATGAGGATATAATACAATCTGTTCTGTATGAATTACTCTATTAGTATCATGATAATATTGGCAGCATTGCCCTACCATGCTCAGTTTTAGAATTTTTACTAATTCTTTCTTACTTTCTGAGGTCAGACTCATTCTTTTTTTCTGCTAAATTTGCTTATGATATTGAAAAACGTATTTGAGGACAATGTGGTCAATCACACATTTCAGATTAAGTCTTTTCTGTTTATTTATCTATTGTTAGGTAACAATCCCCATCCCAGATTTAATGGCTTAAAATAACATCAGTTTATTATTTGTGATAATTCTATGAGTTGACTGGATTCAGTCAGTTGGGTGCTCTACTGTAGCTGAGGTCATTCATGCAGTTTCGTTCAGCTATGACCTCTGCTAGTAATAGAATGTCAGAATTATCTCTTATCCTCAGAGGTTTCTCTTCATGTGGCCTCTTGTCTTCCAATCGAACCTGATCTTTTCTTTTAGCACAGCAAGTGGTTTCCAAGATTACAGCTCCAATGTAGAAAACATATTAAGGTTTTGCTTGCATCACACATGCTACTCACTCAAAGCAAATCACATAGCCAAGCCCAGAGGTAATGTGGGAGGGGACTGCACAAGGACATGAATAATGATAGACATAGTCCACTGGGGTCCACCAATGTAATTGACTGCCTCCTCTCCATAATAAATTTTAGTGAAGAGGAACAGATAGTGAGTTTGGGTTGTATGGCAGAGTAAGAATCAGTATAATTTGAACCAAATAATATTTTATATAAATAATTTCATAAAATTATAATTAACAACCTTGGTTTTATTTTGTGTGGGGGGTACTGTTAAGAAATGGAGGAGGAAAGAAGTAGTACTGAAATAGAAAACATTGACTTTGTATCCTGTCAGCCTTTTAGGAAAGATATTAAGTCTCAATAAAATAATATATTCCTTTTCTTTTGACAGAAGTGTTTCTAACATGTGTCATCAAAATGGATAAGGTGTACCTAATCACTGTTGACACAGTTTCTACTTGGAGTTTAATTTTCCTACTCTTTTCCCTCTTCTCCCTTGCCCATTCATTTCCACTTCCTCTCTCTCTCTCTCGCTCGCTCTCTCTCGCACACACACACATACACACCTTTTTGTCCATGTTATCATAATGTCCATGATGTGAAAGTTAATTTTTGGAAATGAAAATGATTTAAATTTATGATATTTTGTATGTTGGGTAAGCTTTCAGATTCTTCAACTTGCTAGCATTTTTGGTACATTAAATGTTCTATCAGATAAAATAGCTGAGTCACTGGCAATTCTCATATTCTTAATTTGAAGTGGAAAAATAACAATTTTCTGGGGCTTTAGGAACTGTATAGAGAGACAAATGTGGCTTTGTATCCTAGACATCATCTAGCTACCTCTGTACCCTCAAAATTATAGCATCACATTTTAAACCTACAGTCAAAATGGTTTTCTTTTTCTGTGGAAATTGTCTGTTACGTACTTGTTACTACTTTTCTTTCTCTAGTCACCATAATAATTTTTTTATTTCTTCTCTTTTGAATTTTTTTTGAATATTATTTTACCCTGACAAACCAGTTCATATCCCACCAGGTATTTGGCAAGTAGTTTGTTCACAGAAAGGTTTCAGGGAGCCCACGTAGTATTCTCAGTAAGAACAAGGTCTTTGGAATCATCCAACTCTACATTTTGGTCCTAGCCAGGCCAATTACTTGCTGTTAACCTGGAAGTTTCCTCCATACCTCTAAGCCTGTGAACATTCATTTGTAAAAGCTTATGGCAAAATGTCCTTGTGGTGCTTGCATATATTAAATAATATAACTCTTGCAAAAATTATTTGCATTGTGCCTGACAGTAAGAACATAAGTTTTATTATATCTTTTAACCCCTTAAGTGAAATGAGGAATTAAATAGAAAACTTCTATCATATTTAATTAAAATTTCTCAGATCATACAAGGACCATGGTCTATTTGACCCCTTCTTTATGGAGCTAATATTTAGCTAGAAACTGCAATGGAATAATGCAAGAACACAGAACAGGAAGAGAAAGCAGCGATCCTGCAATCATTCAAATGTGATAATACATGCAGGAGAGAAAGGAAAAGAATTAGGCCATGGGTCAGCTAACCTTTGGAACTATTTTTAGCCTCAGAAGCACTTTTATCCCCCTTATAAATTCCATACTTAAAGTTCCAGAATTTAAAATTTGATGAGAACTGTTGTGCTGTTTCAGGTTGTGAAAATTCATTTATTCATACACGTAATTTTACCTTTGAGCAAACTTCAAAAAGAATGACTGCCAAAATGTATTATAACCTGTTTTCTCAAATGTTTTTCTCATTCTCTTTTTTAAAATTTCTCTCTAAAAACGTCATAGGGACAACTGTAATTAGGCTAATTGCGTCCACTCATATGTGCAGCTTATGGCAATAACAGAGCAGTCATAGAAAGAACGAGGTGCAGTATGCTTCAAAATGCAGCATCTGCAGTGCTGTCAAGGCCAGCCATGCCGTCAGTCTTGAGCTAACAGCTGTGATGAACAGAATGTTGTGTTATTCCTTTGGTGTGAAAATGAATTGACAGTTATTTATAGGGAATAATTAATGTAACATTTTGTAAAAGTAAACATGATTTTCAATCCTTGAGAAACTGTTAAAAAGGAAAAAAAGAATAGGAAATGAAGGATACTTTTGACCAACAGAAAAGGCTTGAAGAGAAATAGATGATGTCTACAACTAAAACACTATCTTCCAGACCGTTTAGACATACCATCAACTCTGAGAATAATAGTTGAAGAGTTAAACATTTTTAAAGGAAACAAACCCATCCTCACAGTAATTGTGAACATGTGGAATGTCTCTGTGAAGACTATAGTATCTACTTTTGTTAATATAGTAAGTAAAAATCATGACAATTTCTTATAATTCTGTTTTTTCAGTTCATTATTTAAAATAAGAGAGTGGAAGGAAGTAGGGTGGGACATAGGAAGGAAGGAATAAAGGAAGGAAGGAAATATGTATATATTAATCCCAAGTAAATATGATGCTGAATATGTGATATGAATAACACATTTATTCATAATCTCGCATGGTCAAATGGCTGGTTAGACATATTAGAGATTATTTTGGAATTGTGTGATGCAAAAGAAGTAAACTTGGCTGAATGATTTGTCTCAAACCCTTATCACATGTTAGCTGGTTAAGTGCTTTTGTATCATGTGTTTGATTATCATGTTTCCATCTGAACAGTAACTCCTGACTTGTTCAAAAAATAATTGATTTCTGAATGATGATATTTAGTATTAATTAGTATTAATAAGTGAATGGAAATAATTTTAAGAAAATGTTATTCCCAGGATAGACAGAAATTATTGCTACTTCTCCAGTTGTACCTGAAATATTCTCCTCTGTTCAGCTGTATACCTCTTCGATCTGGACACCTGAGATCCCACCTGCACCTAAGGCTTTTACCTTCAGACAGTGGAAGAAAGTAATGGTGATTTCCTCCTGGTCAGATTGTAGACTTTACTTTTCAGTTTAACTTTGATAACATGGGAACCCATCTTATTTTCCAGAATAATTGTTATGAGTTCTTTAAGAAGCCATGCCATTATTTAAGTTCATTTGAATACATACTGTATTATAGCTGCTAAGTGAGATATCTCTGAAACTGTGTCATTCAAGAAGCCAGTGAGCTATCATCCATGGCCCAGCTTTCTTTATTGTACTAAATGATCATTAGAAGATGCACCATCAAACCAAACTCTTTATATTCTTCAGCAGCATAAGTTTAAGCAAGGCTAGCAGGCATCTCTGATATTGGCAACGTGAAGAATACCTTTCACACCATTAAAGTGATGGAAGAATTGCTTATGTAGCCATCTTCTTATTTTATTTATATACATTGTGTGTGTGTGTGTGTGTGTGTGTGTGTGTTATGTGTATATATAACATATATATAGCTATCTTTGGTGAAAATTTCCATCCCAAAACCTTCTATAGTAAATGCTCAAAAACAATTTGATGAAAGACCATCTACTATGTGCCAGATCTCTGTGTGGGATGCAAGACTTATAAAATATGGTTCCTGTTGGGCAGTATTGGTGACGAGACTATATACTGAAGAAGGGAAAGGTATTAAAGGTAGTAAATAAAGATAAAATATGCTGCATGAATGACCTCAAGGGTGGCACTGTGACAAGTAAGATAAGCGTGGCAGGGCAGCGGGGACTGCAGTGTGCTTACATTTCATGCACTCAAGAGCTAAGTAGAGGGTCTGAGACTGAACTGTTGGCTGCATTCCCAGTCACCTACAGTATAGGCCTCCTCCTCATGTTAATAACAATAGAAAATTCATATTTTACAAACTATAATCTATCTAGAGAGGGATTCAGAAAATATTTTAATAGGAGGCCAGGAATGAGATCCAAAGGGGATGGAATTAGATGATAAAGCACAGAGATTATGTTAAGTCTATGAGCCTGGGCATTGAATGAGTACTACAGTCTCCTTGTATAAATAATTTTAGTTTGTGTGATAACCTGAATGTTCTTATAAATTCACATTTTCCATGTGGTGGTCATCAGTGCATGGGAAACATAACAGGTTGTAGTAGAAAATCATTATTATTTTGTGGTGACTTTTGTAAAAGCAGTTGTGTCCTAAAACTTTGTTGCTTTCCCTGCCTTCTTTTGCTCCCAGTGAAGATCAAGCCACCACTTCAAGTGATTTGGATACACAGGAAGAATTCACTGGGGCTACCAGAGGTTGGAAGGTGGGAAAAGGGAGAGGAGCAGAAAGAATAACTATTGGGTACTAGGCTTGGTACCTGGGGGACAAAATAATCTGTACATCAACCCCCGTGACATGAGTTTACTTATGTGGCAGACCTGCACATGTACACCTGAAGCTAAAATAAAAGTAAAAAATAAAAATAAATAAGCAAAAAAAAAAAGAATTCACTCTCTATGAAGGATAACTGGGACAAGGTGTGGGGCTTATGAACAAGTAAATAGCAGATACAGCGGTTTGTAGTTCTACATGTGTGATTTAGTTTAGAGTTATCAGTTAAAGTCTGGCTCATTGAAAATTTTAAAGTGGCATTAATTTGAGAAACTAGTAAATTATTTTAGCAAAAGTTCAAGCTGTACATTTTGGGCTAATGACTTGGTAAATGGATTTGGGTGACCTGAGTAAATAAGTAACATAACAAAAACTGTGTTTTGCCAGGTTGGCCAGGGAGTGCCACCTAGAACTTCTTGGACAAAAGGGAGAACACAGGGAAACCATTTCCTAGACTTGGAATCATTCCTCTTACTGTCTGTTGTAGTGACCAAGCATGAGTTGGTGAAGACTTGGACTAAGGTGATAGCAAAGAGAGTGGCAAGGAAGTGAAAGAATTGCCAGAACCTGGTAACTTTGAGTATATGGATATATATTATAATGATCCTTAACATTTGTTTAGTATTCACCTCAAAATTTGTGGATTTTTATCTCATTTAATCTCAACCATTTTATAAAGCATAGGTACTAATATCATTACAAGTTAAGCAGTTTTTTTTTAAGATCACATAGTTACCAGTTTTCAGAACCAGTACCCAAACCTTAGTTCTATCTGAACTCAAGCTATGTTGTAAAAGATACGGACGTATCAAAGGCTAAAATAAAATGTAATGCCAACATTTCTAGCTAGGAGACATATGTCCATGTGAAGTGGGGTTTAACGTTGATCGTTGGAATAGGTATAACACAATTTTTCTTCTCTTATTTTTTTCTAGTGCGACTTCATGATAGCATATCAGAAGAGGGCTTTCACTACTTGGTGTTTGATTTGTAAGTATATACTCTGTATTCATTATTTTTGCAATCTAATTGAGGACCGTTTTGAATTAATGATTTTTCTCACTGTACAGTCCAAATTACTGACTGCTACAATATTTTTTAATGTTCAAGTAACATTCAACTCTAATTCTTTTGAAAAGAGGATACTACTCAGCATTGTTTTATTTACAATTTAATTTAACCTTAATTTGAATTAACCTTAACCTAAGTGAAATAGTTATTTCTCTTTGCATTGTCCGTTGTGATGTCATGAGTGGTTCTCAATTCTACCTTGTAGCACAAAAATGTTTGACATAAGCAAAATTTTCCATTTAATTTTTAAGAGTATGTATAATTTATTATCTTAAAGTAAAAAGAAGACTCAAGGAAGAAACTTGGATTACCAAAATTGATTTAAACTAATCAAGACTTTTAAAGTGAGGCGCTGTCAGCAAGAATGAAGGGAAAATAATGACTCTTGGCAGGGATATAGTGGCAGGGATATAGTAAAACAGGCCACACATATGGTTGGTAGGAGTTTAATAAGAACATACTTTCTGGAAATCAATTTGGTGCTACTGTGCTCATCAAAGGGAATAAAAAATGTTTGTATCATTTGACTTAGTAATTTTACTCCTCAGAACAAAGTCCATGGAAAGTATACCCTAAATTCAGTTAAAATTTTATGCTGAAAGATGTTCATTGCATCATCCTTTATAACGGGGGAGAAAAGAAAAGAAAGAAACCAACTTAAGGATCCAATTATAGAGAAATAGCTACATAATTATAGTATATTCATATAATGGACTACTGCCTAGCATTTTAATTTGATGCCACAGAGTTTTGGGAAAGATTTAAAAAATTATTTCACATGATATGAGTTTGAAGGTAGGTTAATACTAGGTTTGGTTAATTCAGTACTTCAATGATATCATTAAGAAACCACGTTCTTTCCATCTGTCTGTTTTTAGTATTATGTGGGTTTGTCTTCATGTTTGAGTTCCCCTATGGTCTGAAATTGACTACCACATTTTCAGTTATCACAGTGACTTCCAAAGGCAGAAAAAGGGTAATCCAAATTCTATTGCATAAGTTTTTATTCATGGAGAAGTCTTTCTCAAGAGCCTCTCAGAAGATATCTGTTCAAGATTCCTTAATTAGAACTGCTTCTCAAGCCCACACTAAACCAGGTATTTGTTAAGGGAATGAAATTACAACTGGCATTGACAAATAATAATTTAGTCTGTAGATCTGGTGAGGGAACTGGCCTCTTAATCATGTGATACCCAGTTCAGAACTAAATTGTGATTTTGTTATTAAGAAAGAATGGGAGTTTTATCTGTTGGGTAGTGTCATGCGCATCCATGTGAAGAGACCACCAAACAGGCTTTGTGTGAGCAGTAACGCTTTTTAGTCACCTGGGTGCAGGTGGACTGAGTCCAAAAAAGGAGTCAGCAAAGGGAGATAGGGGTGGGACAGTTTTATAGGATTTGGGTGGGTAGTGGAAAATTACAGTCAAAGGGGATTTTTCTCTTGCGGGCGGGGACAGGGATTACAGGGTGCTCGGTGGGGAGCTTCTGATACTCATTGTCCAGGAGAAGGAATGTCACAGGGTCAATTGATCGGTTACGGTGGGGCAGGAACAAATCACAATGGTGGAATGTCATCAGTCAAGGCAGGACCTGGCTATTTTCACCTCTCCTGCGGTTCCTCAGTTGCTCCAGACCATCTTAATGCGTACCTGCAGGCTTGGGCTCAGAGGCCTGACAGGTAGGCAGCCAAGCATATCTGCCATATTTAGAATAGAGACTAAAGCGCTACTTCTGCACAATCCTACTGCACAGGCTCCTCTCCACAGTCCCAGTTCATCCATGTCTTGCTCATGTGGCCGTAGTTTCATCTGGCTCTATGTTGTTCTAGTAGTGCTTCCTCTTCAGTCCTTTCTCAGCTCTTGTTTTTACTTTTTCCATTATTTTTTCTTCCTTTCCAATGTTTGAGTCCCTTCTTTTATGATTTTTTTTTCTTGAGCTTTCTTTAGCCATTCTTTTAGGATAGGTATGCTAGCAACAAATTGTTAGTATTCCTTTTTCTGAGCTTGTCTCGATTTCCCCTTTATTCCTGAATGATATTTTTGCCAGATATAGAATCCAGGTTGAGAGTTCTTTCAATGTTGTGCCACTTCCTTCTGGATTCCTTGATTTTTGATGAGACATCTTTGTCATTCTAATTGTTTTTCCCCTAAAGATAAGGTATTAGTTCTCTCTGGCTGCTTTAAAATTTTTTGGTTTTTGTTTCTTTTTCTCGTTGTCTTTGGTTTTTAGGTTTGTCTATGATGTATCTTGCTTGGCTTGGATTTTTTGGAGTTTACTTATTTGGAGCTCACTTAGCCTCCTGAATGGGTCCATCTTTGTTTGGCAAACCTGGGAAACTTTTGGACATTGTTTCTTTGAATACCTTTTTAGCCCTACCTTCTTTCTCCCTTCCTTTTGGAACTCTGATGACATGAGTGTTGGATCTTTTGTTAGAGTCTAAGAGGTCCCTGAGGCTCTGTTTGTTGTAGTTTTCCCGTAGTCTGTTGTCTTTCTGTTGTTTAGTTTGGGTAATTTATTATTGTTCTGTCTTCAAGTCTGATTGTCTAATTCTTTCCTCTGTTGTTTTTTTTTTTTTCTGAGACAGAGTCTCACTCTGTCACCCAGGCTGGAGTGCAGTGGTGCGATTCAGGCTTGAGTGCAGTGGCGCGATCTCTGCTCACTGCAACCGCCGCCTCCTGGGTTCAAGCGATTCTCCTGCATCAGCCTCCTGAGTAGCTGGGATTACAGGCGCGCGCCACCATGCCGGCTAATTTTTTTGTATTTTTAGTAGAGACGGGGTTTCACCATGTTGGTCAGGCTGGTCTCCAACTCCTGACCTCGTGATCTGCCTGCCTCTGCCTCCCTAAGTGCTGGGATTACAGGCATGAGCCACTGTGCCTGGCCCATCCATTGAGTTTTTTATGTCAGTTATATTTTTCATTTCTGCAGTTTCCTTTTCTTCTTTATAGCCTCTATTTCTTTGCCAAGATTCCCTTTTGTTTGTTTGTTTCAAGTGTGTTCATAAGTGCTCTCTGAAGCATTTTTTTATTATGGCTGATTAAAAATCCGTATCAGATAATTCTGACAGCATTGTTATCTTGGTGTTGCTGCCTGTTGATTATCTTCTCATTCAAATTGAGATTTTCCTGGTTCTTGATATGATGAGTGATTTTTGGATTATATCCTGAACATTTGGGGGTATTATTTTATAAGACTTTGGATTTCACTAACTGTTCTTTAGCAGGCCTTCTCTCATACCAGAGTAAGCAGGTGCCATCTTATTACTGACTGATGGGGGCTGTAGTCCAGGTTCCCCCCACAGCCTCCACCGACATGCCTGGGTGGTGGTTCCTTATGGCTAGGTGAGGTTATTGGAACGCAGGGATTTTTATTTTTTCTATATTTACTGGGAGCAATACACCTACCATATTTTTTAAGCAGCAGACATGTTATTTCTTAATACATTTAATTTGTCAGATCTTTGTTTTGCAGATCAAGGTATGGTATTGTAAACTGAGATATGTCCTTCATGCTATGATGAATGGTGGAATAAAAAACACTTTTGTGAGTTCTCATTACTTAAGTAATAACATTCTGAAGTGAGTTTGATCACAGCTTGGTCAGGGAGGAAACACTTTTTTCTGTCCTTTTAGGTTCAGTGCCTGGGGCATGAGAATTAAACAAGAGAGAGATTAACAAGAGACAAGGCATATAATTTGTATTAATATTTATGTGCATGGGAGTTCACAGAAAAGAAGTGAAACTCAAAGAAGCAGTTAGGCTCAGGCTTTTATACCCTTAAAAGAATTTGGGCTTCAAGAGATAATGGAGAATTGACTTATGGAAAAGTGACTAGTAAATATATGAAGGAGCTAATGGAAGATAAGGGCTATTTTAGTAAGATCTGTTTCTGCAAACTCATCTGCTGTCGACTCCCTGTCTTCTGTGATGAGTCAATCTTTCTCACTGGTGTTGGGGAAAGAGAGCATCTTCCTTAAAGGGAAATTTATTCCCTGCTTTTAGGCAGATAAGGGAGGGCAGATAATTCTCTCTATATCTGTTGATTCTCACTTAGCTTTAGCTCAAAATAATCCTTATGCCAAAGTGGCATATTTGGGCGTGATATATTTTGATCTCCTTCTGCTGCAAGAAGCACTTCAGTGTTAGGTCAAAACCTTCTACTATGCCAGTTTTCCACAGTCATCAAATTATTTATATCTATATTTTAAAATTTATAGCTTCTGTATTCCTTATTAAATTAAGGGCATGATGAGAATCACACAGTTTATTTTTTCTTGTATCATTTTTTAGAAATTCAGCATAATATTTGGTGAAGAACATAAAGAAAGCAGTTCACATGGAAACAGAATAAGATTTTTAACTAAAGTGGATTATGTCTTTAGCAATGGTATTTGTTTGGGTTATTAATGTCTTTGAAACCAAAGTGAAGAAGGTAAAAGTTTACATACAAACCATAGTAATTTGAAATATGCTGCAACAGGCAACTGAACTTCTGCCTCTAGAATGAAGGGCTCAAATTCTTGCAATTATTCTTTAGTATTTAAAGTTTAAGAGGAGCATTATCAGCAGTTATCCTGAAAATGATCTACCAGTAAATGAGATTAATAAACTAAACACAATCCAATAAAGCATTAGAAAAATTGAAAAACAATGGTTAAAAGTATGCATTTTCAATGACTGAAAAGAGAGCATAACAGATATAAGTGTCTAATTTCTCAAAATTACGTGATCATTGCAGCAATAATCTATGAAAAGGAAAAGTAAGCAGCTTTAGAAAAATGCACATTTTAAATATAGTTAAGAAATATACATTGATATCTTAAAGATATCAATGAAATACTCTCATGGAAAATTAGAGCCACTTACCCAATGAGTTCCGAGATAAAATAACTACTTGAATTCCCAAAGAAGGAATGTTCCTTGTGTTCCTCCTTTTGATGATAGTTTTGGCAGTGTGGTGCTTGTACATATTTCCTGTGGAATGTTAGCTATTCAGAATCTAATGGAAGTTCTATTTTTATAGGTGCATTGAGTCTTCTTCTAATGAAATGATTTTTACTTTCTAAAAAATCAAAACAAAGAACATGAGTTCTATGAAAAAATTTTCTTCTTTTTTTTTCTTTTTAAATTTTATTTTATTATAGAGATGGGGTCTTGCTATGTTGCCCAGGCTGGTCTCAAACTTCCGGTCTCAAGCTATCCTCCCTCCTCAGCCTCCCCAAGTGCTCAGGTGTGAGCTACCATGCCCAGCCTCTTCTTACTGTTTTAAATATATATATATATATATATATATATATAAAATAGCAAGAAATATATAGAAAGATATATATAAAGAAATATAATAGCAAGAAACATATATAATAACAAGAAATATATATATTTCTTGCTATTTTAAATTTATATATTTTTATTCAGTTATCTAGCCATTTTTAACAATAAGGCATTAGTAGTCTCTTTTGCACATAGACTCAGGAATGAATGGGAAAGGCTTTTATGAAAGCAAAGTCATCCCCTTCCTGTATCCATGTGTTCTCATTGTTCAATTCCCACCTATGAGTGAGAATATGCGGTGTTTGGTTTTTTGTTCTTGCGATAGTTTACTGAGAATGATGATTTCCAATTTTATCCATGTCCCTACAAAGGACATGAACTCATCAGGAAGGGGAACATCACACTCTGGGGACTGTTGTGGGGTGGGGGGAGGGGGGAGGGGGGAGGGATAGCTTTAGGAGATATACCTAATGCTAAATGACGAGTTAATGGGTGCAGCACACCAACATGGCACATGTATACATATGTAACTAACCTGCACATTGTGCACATGTACCCTAAAACTGAAAGTATAATAATAAAATAAAATAAAATAAAATAACGCAAAGTCATCTTTACAGCAAATAATGAACTGCCCTGATTTTTTTCAAATAATCCTTTCCAGGGTTTGTGCCTAGCATGGTTTCTAGGCACACCTCAGCGGCTCTGGAGAACAAGGAGGGCTAAGTTTATAGAGATGTGAATTTACCGAAAGATAAGAGAAGTGGAGCTAGATTGTAGTCCCCAAGGGAGAGGCCTTCAGGCAGAGACTTCAGCCTTAAGCAGATAAGGCAGATCACAGATCAAGTTCATTTCTAGGGCTAATGGTAAATAAGGCTTTAACATGGGCAGTCACCTGAACATATGTGTTGGCTTGAAAAATTGTTTTCCCTCTACCCGTTTTAGGTTTATCGGCTGGGACCCCGCAAATTAGACTGACAGGAGAAAGATTAAGGAAAAAACAAACAAACAGACGTTTATTAAACTGTGTATAATACGTTCACATGGAAGCACTCAGAGATGAGTAACTCAAAAGGGTGGTTAGAACTTCAGCTTATATATCATCTTAAAAGAACAATAAATTCTTAGAGAAGAGACAAAACAAAGGAAGAGGACTTTGAGTCTATAGGAACAGCAAATTGTATGAAGGTAAATAGATGAGGATAATTAATGGCAGATAATGGCTGGTTGTAGTAAAGTTTCTTATGCGGATTCCTCTGGTGCAGTCTCCAGGCTCAGGCTCTAGGTTGTCACTAACTTCTGCCTTCCCTGGAGAGAGGGCAGGAGAGAAAACTCTACAAATTTATGTCATGCTTTTAGGCAGACAGAGGGAAAGCAAAGAGCTTTATCTGTATCTGCTTCTTCACAATTGCCTTCAGCAAAAAATAATTTTTACAAGTGGCATACTTTGGAGTGACATATTTTGTTACCCTTCATTAATGACATTTATTTCAGGAACTGTATGTCAGAGAAAATCCGTATTATGTGTTTGTTGAGTGAATACTTGTTCAAGAGACCAAAAAAAAAATTAGTAATTACAGTACAATACAACGTTTGCCACGATATTGTTCTGTGTAGACAGCTTCAAGCAAAAATGGACTTAGTTTAGAGATAGCTTAGCCCAGTTAGAAGTCACTGAAGTAAGGTGTTGGGAGAAATAAAAAAAAAAAGAACTAAAATAGTGTAATCCCTTTGAAAATACTTTATAGAACATAGCTGAGTCTACAAATTTTGTTTCAAGATCATCATTTGTATTTAAGAAGGAGGCTGGGCACAGTGGTCCACACCTCTAATCACAAGTGCTTTGGGAGGCTGAGACAGGAGATCGCTTAAGCCCAGGAGTTCGAGACCAGCCTGGGCAACATAGCAAGACTCTTTGTCTACAAAAAAGTTTTAAAAATCAGTCTGTGGTGATGGCACTTGCATGTAGTCCTAGCTGCTAGGGTGGCTGAGGCGGAAAATCACTTGAGCCCAGAAGTTCCAGGCTGCAGTGAGCTGTGATCACGCCACTGCACTCTAGGTGACAGAGCAAGAACCTGACTTAAAAAATGAAAAAAAAAAAAAAAAAAAAAAAAAAAGAATAAACAGTTAATCTACATAAAATGCATTATATTTTAAATAGCAAACCCTGATGCTATAACTATACTAAATTTCTTGTTTGTTTTTAGAAAATGGAATTTTGTTTGAATCAAAACATCTGGGCTATTTTAAAATGAAATTTAATGTTCATTATAGTGAAAACCAATGAATCTAGAATTTTAGTATGTCTCATGTGGGAAAAATACTGGTTTTCCAGTACGTATACTAACAATTTTAGTGGTTTTTTTTTTCCTCATGAAAGGGCATATCCGGATCGTGTTCCTTTTATTGAAAAATTAATAAAACAATTAATGATTTTGTTATATTTTTTAAGGAAGAACACTTTAAATGCTCATGACATTCTGTCCTTTTAATAGAAAGGGATGCTTTGTCATATACTTTTGATTCTATTCTGAGTGGAAGGCAAAATACACGATTAACTTCTCTCTATTATGGTGCTCCACAGTGGCAAATTAAATCCTTCTACCCACGTATCATGTTTCCTTTATGTTCGTGAAAACTTTCAGTTTGTGTGGGATAAGATATAAACTTGTCTCCTAAAGACTCTTTAGTTACAACCTACAGAAGGAGGTAGGTTCTTCGTGATAAATACTATTTGATATCAGAATTTTTTTCAGGGATAATTGTCATAAATTCCAGAGGGCCTATTTCTATTTTGTTTCTTTGCTTTAGTAATTTTTATTCTTTGATGAGAATAAGGATTTCTTCTTAACATATCTATACCATCACATTAATTCTGTGGCTCATGCTTGTAACCTCAGCACTTCAGGAGGCCGGGGAAGGAGGATTGCTTAAGCCTAGGACTTAAAGATCAGCCTGGGCAACATAGTGAGACCTCATCTCTACAAAAACATTTTTACAAAGTAGCTGGTGTGGTGGTATGCACCTGTAGTCCCAGCTACTTGAGAGGCTGAGGTGAGAGGATCACTTGAGCCCGGTTCATCAAGGCTGCAGTGAGACAAGATTATGCCACTGCTTCCTAGTTGACAGAGCGAGACCCTGTCTCAATTTAAAATAAAAATGGTAATTATTATTATTATTGCCCTTTTTAATACAGATCTGGATTTCTTGGTGTTATATCACCTCCCATATTTATTATAATTCATCTTCATGAAGTTAGATAAAATATTGTGGACTATAGGATTTTTTGAAACTTTGACAATTCTTTTTAAACTTCTAATAAACTTTATATTTTAGATCAGTTTTAAGTTTACAGCAAAAATGAGTGGAAATACAGAAAGTTTCCATATACCCTTATCTCTACAAGTTTACCACCTCCTACACTATCAAAATCCCCATACAACATTAGTACATTAGTTATAATAGTACATTGTACTACTGTATAAACCTACTTTGGTACATGATTATCACCTAGAGTCCATAATTTATGCTAGGGTTCACTCTTGGTGTTTTACATTGTATGGGTTTTTAAAAATGTGTGACGTTCTGTAACCACAATTGTAGGATCATACAGAATAGTTGCATTGCCCTAAAAATCTTCTGTCTTCTGCCTGTTCTGTCCTCCTTACCCCCAACTTCTGGCAACCACTAATCTTTTACTGTCTCCATAGCTTTACCTTTTCCAGAATATCATATAGTTAGAATCATACAGTATATAACCTTTTAGATTGATTTCTTTCACTTAGTAATAAAGTCAGCCCTGGGACAACATGGGTTTGAACTGCACAGGTCCACTTATACGTGGATTTTCCTCCACCTTTGCCATTCCTGAGACAGCAAGACCAACTTCTCCTCTTCCTCCTCCTCCTCTTCCTCCTCCTCCTCTTCAGTCTTCTCAATGTGAAGATGATGAGGATAAGACCTTTATGATGACCCACTTTCACTTAATGAGTGTAAATTTATTATCTCTTCCTTAGGATTTTCTTAGTAACATTTTCTTCTCTCTAACTTACTTTATTTTAAGAATACAGTATATAATACACGTAACATACAAAATATGTGTTAATCAACTCTGTTATCCTTCAGGCTTCCAGTCAACAGTAGGCTATTAGTAGTTAAATTTGTGGGGAATCAAAAGTTATACAAGGGTTTTCAACTGTTGGGGGGTTGATACTCTACCCCTCATGTTGTTCAAGAATCAACTGTACATATTTAGATTTCTTCTATTTATTTTTTATGGCCTTATAGCTTATTTCCTTTTGTCGTTGAATAATATTTCATTGTCTGGACGTACCAGAGTTTATTGACTTACCCAATGAAAGACACCTTGACTGCTTTCAAATTTTGGCAATTATGAATAAAGCTGCTATAAACATCCATATATAGGTTTTTGCATGGACATAAGTTTTCAACTCATTTGGGTAAATACCTAAATGTGCTGCTGATGAATCATGTTGTAAGTGTATATTTAGTTTTCTAAAACACTGCCAGTATTCTTAAGTGGCTATACCATTTTGCATTCACACCAGCAATGAATGAGAGTTCCTGTTGCTCCATACTGTCTCCATAGCTTTACCTTTGTAAGAATTCTCACCAGCATTTGGTGTTGTCAGTGTTCTTGATATTGGCCTTTTTAATAGGTGTGTAGTGATATTCCATTGTTACAATTTGAAATTTCCTAATGACATACAATGATTAACATCATCTCATATGCTCGCTTACCATCTGCATTCTTCTATGGTGAGGTATCTCTTCAGGTTTTTCATCCATTTTTTTATTAGATTGTTCATTTTCATGTTAAGCTTTGAGGGTGATTTGTATATTCCTAGCACTTCAAGAGGCTGAGGCAGGCAGATCACTTGAGTCAAGAATTTGAGACCAGCCTGGCCAACATGATGAAACCCCATCTCTACTAAAAAGACAAAAATTAGCTGGGCATGGTGGTGCATGCTTGTAATCCCAGCTACTTGAGAGGCTTGAACCTAGGAGGCAGAGGTTGCAGTGAGCCAAGATACTGCAAGCCATTATACTCCAGCCTGGGTGACAGAGTGACACTCCATCTCAAAACAAACAAATGGACAAAAAAGAGTTATTTGTATATTTTGGATAACAGAAGCTTTATCCGGTGTGTGTTTTGGATATATTTTCTTTCAGTCTGCAGCTTTTCTTATCCTCTCAACAGTGTCATTTGCAGAGTGGAAGTTTTTAAGTTTAAGTTTTTAAGCTTATCAATTTGTTTCTTTCATGGATTATGTGTTTGGTCTTATATCTAAAAAGTCATCAGCATACCCAAGATCATCTAAATATTCTCCTTTGTTTTCTGGGAAGTTTTAGAGTTTTGTGTTTTACATAAAACATAGGTGTGTGATCTATTTTGAGTTAGTTTTGGGGAAAGGTGTAAGGTCTGTGTCTGCATTCATTTTTTTTTAATGTGAGTTTTCAGTTGTTTCAGCACCATTTATTAAAGAATGTTTTTTCCAGTGTATTGCCTTTGCTCTTTTATCAAAGATCAGTTGATTGTACTTATGAGAGTGTATTTCTATACTCAAAGATCTGTTCTGTACCGTTGATCTCTTTGTTTGTTCTTTTGCCAATAGCACAGTGTCTGATTGCTGTAGCTTTATGGTAAGTCTCAATGTTGAGTAGTGTCAGTCTTCTATCTTTGTTCTTTTCCATCAATATTCTCTTGGCTATTCTGGGTCTTTTTTCTTTTCATATGAACTTTAAAATTGGTTAGTATATATCAAAAAATAACTTGCTGAGATTTTGATTGGGATTTCATTGAATCTGTAGAAAAGTTGTGTGTGTTCTGACTGCCCCCACTGACTGGCCATTCCCCCATTCTTTCCCTTTCCTCAGGCCTTCCTATTCCCTGAGACACAAAGATATTGAAATTAAACCAATAAATAACTTTTCACTGGCCTCTAAGTGCTCAAGTGAAAGGAAGAGTCACACATCTCTCATTTTAAATCAAAACCTAGAAAGAATTAAGGTTAGTGAGGAAGGGATATCAAAAGCAGAGATATGCTGAAAGCTAGACCTGTGCGCCAGTTAGCTGAGTTGTGAATGCAAAGGAAAAGTTCTTGAAGGAAATTGCAAGTGCTATTCCATTTAGCAAACAGATGATAAGACAGCAAAACAGCCTTATTGCTAATATGGAGAAAGCTTTATTGGTCCATATAGGTGATCAAACCAGTTATAACATTTCCTTAAGCCAAAGCCTAATCCAGAACAAAGCCCTAACTTTCTTCAATTGTTTGAAGGCTGAGAGGGGTGAGAAAGCTGCAGAAGAATAGAGGAAAGCTAGCAGAGGTTGTTTCTTGAGGTTTAAGGAAGGAAGCCATGTCCATAACAAAAAAGCGCAGTGTGAAGCAGCAAGAGCTGATGGAGAAGCTGCAGTAACTTATCCAGAAGATCTAGCTAAGATAAGTGATGAAGGTTTGTGCACTAAAAACAGATTTTCAATGTAGATGGAACAATCTTCTATTGGAGGAAGATGCCATCTGGGACTTTCATAGCTTGAGACAAGAAGTTTTAAAGGACAGCTTTCAAGAACAGGTTAACTTTCTCATGAGGGATTAATGCATATGATGACTTTAAGAAGACATGAATGCTCATTGACCATTCCAAAAATTTTAGGACCCGGCCAGGCGCGGTGGCTCATGCCTGTAATCCCAGCACTTTGGGAGGCCGAGATGGGCAGATCACCAGGTCAGGAGATGGAGACCATCCTGGCTAACACGGTGAAACCCCGTCTCTACTAAAAATACAACAAATTAGCCAGCCTGGTGGTGAGCACCTGTAATGCCAGCTACTCAGGAGGCTGAGGCAGGAGAATGGCGTGAACCCGGGAGGCTGAGATTGCAGTGAGCTGAGATCATGCCACTGCACTCCAGCCTAGGCGACAGAGCGAGGCTCCATCTCAAAAAAAAAAAAAAAAATTCTAGGACCCTTAAGATAGATGCTAAATCTACTCTGCCTGTACTCAATAAATATAACAACAAAGCCGAGACGACAGCACATCTGTTTACATCATGGTTTACTGAATATTTTAAGCCTGGCATTGAGATCTACTGCCTGGGGGGGAAGAAAAATGATTTCTTTCAAATATTACTGCACACCGACAATTGACCTAGTTGCCCAAGAGCTCTGACGGAGATGTACAAAGAGATGATTGTTGTTTTCATGCCTACGAACCCAACATCCATTCTGCAACCTCTGGGTCAATGAGTCATATTATCTTTTAAGTATTATTATTAACACATTTTGTAAGGCGATAGCTGCCTTAGATAGTCATTCCTCTGATTGATCTGAGCAAAGTAAATTGACAGCCTTCTGGAAAGGATTTACCATTCTAGATGCCATTTAAGAACATTACTTATTCATGGCAGGAGGTAAAAATAACAACATTAACAGGAGTTTGGAAGAAGTTGATTCCATCTCTCATGGATGATTTTGAGATGTTTGAAGCTTCCAGTGGAAGATATAACTGCAGATGTGAAAATAGCATGAAGACTATAACTGGAAGTGTAATCTGCAGATGTGACTGCATTGATGTAATCTCAGCATAAAACTTCCATGAATGAGGAGTTGCTTCTTATGAATGAGCAAATAAAGTGGTATCTTGAGATGGAATCTACTCCTAGTGAAAATACTGTGAACATTGTTGAATGACAACAAAGGATTTAGAATATTACATAAAGTTAATTGATAACACAGCAGCAGGGTTTGAGAGGATTGACTCCAATTTTGAAAGAAGTTCTCCTATGGGTAAAATGCTATCAAACAGCATCACATGCTACAGAGAAACTTCCTGAAAAAAAGTCAATCAATATGCAGCAAACTTAATTGTTGCCTTATTTTAAGAACCTACGACAGCCACCCTAGCTTTCAGCAGCCACCACCCCATCAGTCAGCACCATCAACACTGAGGCGAGAACCTCCACCAGTAAAAAGGTTACAGCTCACTAAAGTCTTAGATGATCATTAGCGTATTTAGCAGTAAAGTATTTTAAAATTATGATATGTCACATTGTTTTTAGAGATAACGCTATTGCACATTTAATAGACCATGGTATAGTGCAAACATAACTTCATATGCACTGTGAAATAAAGCTGTGACTCATTTTATTGTAATATTTGCTTTATTGTGGTGGTGTGGAACTGAACCCACAATATCTCCTATACTACTTCATGGGTAGTATCGGTATCTTATAATAACAAAATGTTAGTCTTCTCTCCTGTCCCTTGTATCACTGCTGTTATTTATTTCACTTATACATAAGTACACACACACACACACACACACACACACACACACAAGCATACATAATTGAATAAATTGTTGCTATTATTACTTTGGACAAACTGTTACCTATTAGATCAATTTAGAATATGAAAAATAGTTTTTATTGTCTTCACTTATTCCTTCTTTGATTCTCTTTCTGGCTGTAGATCTGAGTTTCCAATCTTTGTAATTTTTCTTCTCCTGAAAACTTTGTTTTAAACATTTCTTGCAAGACAGGTCTACAGTTTCTTTTTGTTTGTCTGAGAAAGTATTTATTTTCTCACATTTGAAGGATAATCTCACAGAATATAGAATTCTAGGGTTTTTTGGTTTTGTTTTCTTCTTAACACTTTGTTTCATTCCACACTCTTCTTCTTGCCTAGTTTCTGAGAATCTTTGTAAAGATTTTTTCTTTGTTTTTTCTTTTTCTTTGTTTTTCTGATGTTTGAATGTGGTATGCCTAGGGATTGTTTTTTAGTATTTATCATACCTTGTGTTCTCTGAGTTTCCTGGATCTGAGGAAACTGTCAAACTGTTATTGCTGTCTCACAATAATTATTCAGGAAGTTATCAGTCATTATTGCTTCAAATGTTGTTACTATTTCTTTCTCTCTTTCTTCTCCTTCCACTATTCCCATTACACAAATTACACATATTTACACTTTTTGTCATCGTCCCACAATCTAAGTTGTCTTGGATATTCTTTGCTTTCTTTTTTATCAGTCTTTTTCTTCCTTTGCTCTTCAGTTTTAGAAGTTTTTTCTATTGTCATATCTTCAGGCTTAGAGATTCTTTTCTCAGCCCTGTCTAGTCTACTAATGAGCCTATCAAAGACATTCTCCATTTTTCTGGTATAGTGCTTTTGATGGTCAAGCTAGCATTTCTATTGGATTCTTTCTTAGAATATTCATCTCTCTGTTTACATCATCCACCTGTTCTTGCATGGCATCTTATTTTTTCCATTAAAGCCCTTCATATATGATTCACAGTTTTAAAAAATGTCTGGTCTGATCATTCCCACATATTTGTCATATTTGACTCTGGTTCTGAAACTTTTTCAGTCTCTTCAAACTGTGTTTTTGCCCTTTAGTATGCCTTGTTATTTATTGAAAGGTGGGCATGATGTACTAGGTGATATGGTTTGGATCTGTGTCCCCACCAGATCTCATGTTGAATTGTAATCCCCAGTGTTGGAGGTGGGGCCTGCTGGGAGGTGATTCGATCATGGGGTTGGATTTCTCACGAATGGTTTAGCACCATCCTCTTGGTACTGTCCTCGTGATAAGGAGTGAGTTCTCCTGAGATCTGTTCATTTAAATGTGTGTGGCCTTCCTCCTTCTCTCTCTTGTTCCTGCTTTCAGCATGTGAAGTGCCTGTTGCTGCTTTGCTTTCTGCCATGAGTAAAAGCTCCCTGAGGTCTCCCCAGAAGCAAATGCTGCCATACTTCCTGTGCAGCCTGAAGAAGAGCCAGTTAAGCTTGCTATAAATTACTCAGTCTCAGGTTTTTCTTTATAGCAATGTGAGAATGGACTAATACACTAGGTTAGGAAAAAAAAAAGCACAACTCTGGTAAATAAGCCTTCAATAATAATAGTGGTAAGTTATGGGGAAAGAGGAAGCATTCTGTAGTCCTATATTTAGATCTCAGTCTTTTCATAAGCCTGTACCTCTAGACTGTGATCTACACTGGTGCTTAAGGGTACAGCTGGGTAGAATTGGGGATTTCTATTTCCCTAGGTTTGTTAGACTCTGATAAAACCCCAGCAGGTTGGGCTCTACTAAAGTAGTTGTTCCTGAGGGCAGACCTTGTTAAGACAAACAGCATTCTCTGCCATATTTCAAAGTTGTTTCTTTTCTCCTCCTTCTTCCAGAAGCAGAAAGAGATTTTTCCTCTGGTATTCACTGTGAAGCTCTGATACAACTCTTGGAAGTAAAACTCACAGAAGTGTGAGGATCCCCTTAAGATTAGGTCCCCCTAAAGTTTTTATCTTTCAGACTTGTCCACACTGATCCTTCAGCAATTCATCAGTTAAAAGTTTATGTTTTCCTACCTCATGATGGTTCAGAGGAGGTTTCTGCTCGTGGATTTCTGCTCTGATAAATTGTGACACTCTATCCTAACCTGTCTTACTCTCCAATTTTAGGGGCAGCAGTTTGCACTGTAAACTCACTTCTATGGCAGATCTAAGAAGAGTGTTAATTTGTCAGTTTGTTCAGTATTTTACTTGTTCTAATTACAGAGTGATGGACTTTTAAGCTCCTTACACACCATACCGGAAACCAAAAGTCCTCATAATGCTTTATTTAAAATGTTAAATTTAGGCTGGGCACAGTGGCTTATACCTGTAATCCCAGCACTTTGGGAGGCCAGGGTAGGCAGATCACTTGAGGCCAGGAGTTGGAGACCAGCCTGGCCAAGATGGCGAAACCCAATCTCTATTAAAAATACAAAAATTTGCCAGGCATGGTGGCACACACCTGTAATCCCAGCTACTTGGGAGGCTGAGGCAGGAGAATCACTGGAACCCGGGAGGCAGAGGCTGCAGTAAACTGAGATCATGCCACTGCACTCCAGCCTGGGTAGAGCAAGAGACTCTGTCTTAAATAAATAAATAAATAAAATGTCAAATTTTATAAAAATCCAGTTATAAACTACTAAATGGTTTGGATTTGAAAATACAAGCAAGGCATAATAATTCATTAGCTGGAGGTCAGAAATCAAGACTAGAAATTTACATTTTTAAGACATGTTTAAGATTATTAGTTTGATCTGTTTCTTATATATTATAGGTTGCCGAGACGGATAATAAAAGCAGTTTGATATTTCTCAGAAAAAAAAATCTGAAACTTTAAAAAAAATCATACTCCATTGGAATTTGATGTTGAGGCATTAAAGAGATTTACTACCTCTTTTGTTTAACTAGATTTTGAAAGCACAATTTTCTCAAAAAGTTAATTAAATGTAAAATCATGGATGCTTATTAAATTGGTGCCTTCTTAAGTAAATTCTTTTCAGCTTCTGGGTCAGATGGTTCTCCTTGAAAGAGGCTAGAATTGCTGTATTCAGTATTAATTGCCATTTTGGAGACAATATCTGTGGACTGTCAGTGACATTCTGCTATGAAAGAGAATCTGGAAAAGTTACAATTTAAAACATGTTAGGCTAAGTTTAGCAGTCAGCTTCTTCAGTATGTGATGATATTTTCTGCCATGCACTCATCCATTTCATCTCCCAGCCTGGACTTTGCAGACAGGAAGCCCAACTCCCACTTAATCCCTGCTTACTTTTCACTTCTACTTGAGACACCCAAACTTGGCAGGTTCTGCTGTCGGCTTGCAGTTAACCACAACCACCAACCCCCCTCAGCTTTGGTACTTTAGACATTCTCTGTAAATAGATTTGCTATTATAATACATTCATTCAATGAATACTTATTAAGTACTAATTATATGCAAAGAACTTTGCTAAGTACTAGAGGTAAACCCATGAATAAGACATATCTGCCTACAAAGAGCTTACAACCTAGTAGAGACAAGAAACCATAAACTGTGGTGAGCCCTAAGACAAGGTGAGCTCCCAGAAGGAAATGGTGTCTAATGAGCTGGGGAATGGGAAGACACAGAAGACTCTACATTGAGTAGAATTTACTTAGTCACAGATTCTAGCTCCTCCCTGCAATGCCAAGAAGAACAACATGTGCAAAGGCCCAGAGGGGACAGACGTGGAAAATTGTAGAAATGTAGAGGTTAGTGTGGATGAGCTATTACATTTAAGGGTGAAAGGAGAGCACGGTAAGGCTCTGAGAACTGAAGAAACCAGCTGGGAGCAATTTCCAAAGCAACTTCCAGTTTTACCATCCTTGCATTAAAATGTGATCCTGATTTTTTAAAATAGAGTTAAGGGGAGTGACCTGATGAGATACACATTTAGAGAAATCATTCTAGCTACAAGTTGGAGAACATTGGCATCCTAGTGAGAGATGCTAGTTTTTGGAACTGAGCAATGCAGTGGGAGCGAATAAAAGTGGAAAGTTTAGAGAGTAATTAAAGGGGTAAAAGTAATAGATATGATGATTAATTGGATCTGAACCTCTTCTATTGAAGCCTTCTATTTAGAACATTTCATTTCTAAATAACTACAATAATCTGATTAGAGAAAAGAAGATTTTATCTCTCATGATGGTTTGACTAGCTGATAGCTGTGTCATTGACAACAGTTAATGCAATGACATTGTGTTAATAGACATTTAGCAGACTCAGAAATAGGTACTTATTCCCTTTTTTTTTTTGAATTTTGACTACGTGAATAAAATAAGTAAAACTTCTAAAATAGGAAAGATAATGGCAATAGGTCCCAGGAAGCTATGTGACTTGACAAACAAGCAGATTTTGAGAGAAGACCTTCCTTCCCTTTACTAACTAAAGCAAGGATGTAAACAGCACTAAAACATACCAGGCACTCAACAAACATCTGTTGAATTGTTGACTTATTAGTTGTTTAATGTTGACTTATTATTTCACATTTTAAATAAGTCAAAAAGTAGAAGCAATTATTGAGCATACATCAGCTGAAATTTAATATATTCATTCTTGATGTATACATGTATTTTACCTAATATACAGTCATATTGTGTGATATGTGTCAGTTCTGTGAGGTAGTGAGGGCAAAGATCTAACTGAGTAGAGTTATTCTGTCCCAGTTATTTTAAGTAAGATGTTACTTTTGTTTTAAAGAATATATGAAAGAGAAATATTAATTAGATTTTTCATAAATGCTTTTGAAGTTTATAAGTTTTGAATTACAAATTAGTAATCTAAAATTAACCAGAACTTTTATTGGAGCCTCAAAAAAAGCTTTCAAAGTAGAACTGGAAGAAAATTATAATTTATGATCTTGTTCATCTTTCTTCTTTGCTGTTCTCGTGTAGTGATAGACGTGTTAATGAAAAGTTTTATGCATAGGAAATTGACTATCTTGAATCATGATTATCCATTGACTTTCACTGTAATTTCTTATATTTCTTGTTAAAAGGGAGGATGGGGAATCAGATTTTAGAATTTTCTTTAAAGGAGTTCTGTCATTCTCCTAAATAACATACTTTTTTCTTCTGTGTCTGATATATTTCCATTTAATTGCCTGATGTTTCTCTTAGCAAGAAATTAAACCAATATACTATCAAGTTAACCTGTCTGTCTTCCCTATCAGATAGATCTCTATCTATATTTGTTTTCTCAGTGTCTTGCTCAGTTTCTGGAACTAGAAAATGCTCAATAAATATTCATTGAGCCAAAGTGAATGTTTAAGATTCTACATTCATTTATCCATTCACTTATTCATTCAACAGATACATTTAGTGTTTTTTTATGTAGCTGGTACAGTGCTGGTCCCTGAAGCCCAAAATGAGTAGGATTTTGTGCCTCTCTTCAAGATATTTTAAGTCTTTTGAATATTCATTTAACCTTATTAACATGCATATATTCAAAATATCATAGAGGTAATTTGGCCATACCATAGAGGTAATTTCCTTCCACCCTTTTGTATCTTCTTTGCGGGTTCTTCCTCATCTCCCAGACATTTAAACGTAGGAGTACAAGGGCTTGGTCCTTGGGCATCATGCATTCTCTGCTTATACTTGCTTCTTAAGAATCTCATCCAGTATCATGGCTTTAAATTATTCCATCTATAAGCTAATGATATCCAAATTTACAACTGCTACTCAGACCTCTACCCAAACTCCAGACTTGCGCATTCTGTTGCCTACTCACTATCTCTACTTGCATGTCTAATTGGCATCTCAAATTTAAGATATCTAAAACAGTTCTCCTCATCTCTCTAAGGTCAAAGTTACTCCTCTTAGTGGCAACTCCGTCTTTTTCAGGCTCACAGTCCAAAAACCTTAGAGTAATTATTGACTCATTGCGCCCTTCTCTTACTTACCATATTTGACTCATCAGCAACTCCTATTAGATTCAAAATACATTCAGAAACTGAATATATTTCACTCCGCTCCAGCCATACTGCCTTACTCATAGCCTGGTGCATGCTAGGCATATCTCAACTTCAAGACATTTGCACTTCTTGAATCTAATATATTCAGAACTTGAATCTGTCAGAACTTGAATATATCTTGAATCTCCACAGCACCCCCTTGGCCAAAACCATTATCATCGCTTGCTGGATCACTGTAAAAGTGTCCCAACTAGTTTTCCTCTTTCTACCCTCACCTTCATATAGTCTTCTCTCAACACAGTAGCCAGAGAGTTCCTATCAAATTCCAAGAGCATGCCACTCCTCTGCTCAAAACACTCCATTGCCACATTGCCTACTGCTCTCCTTCTGACCCACTCAGCCCCAGCCACACTGCCTACCTCACAGCCTGGGACATGCTAGGCATATTGCAGCTCAAGGTATTTGCACTTCCTCTTTCCTTGGCCCTGAGTGTTCCTCTCCCAGAAACCTGCATGGTCTCCCCAGCTCTCCTCTCAGAGCTTGGCTCACAGAGGCCTTCCCTGCCCACCAATCTAAAAGTTGATCTGCTTTCTTCACCAACTTTTCTTAATTCCTTCCTTGGCTTTTTTTTTTTTTCTTTTTTGACACCACTATTAAACTACCATGAATTAATTTATCTGGTTAATTTTCTATATTACCAACTATGACGTAAGCTCCATTAGTGCAGGGACTTTTTTCTCTTTTGATCACTATTATCCCCAGTGTCTAGAGCACATAACAGATGTTCAATAAATACTTTTGCAGAAGAGCACATGAGAAAACTTCTGGGAAGAATATAGCATTGTTTTGCAAAGGGTTTAAAGAGTTGTAAGTGAATGTTTTAGGTTTTCTTTCATCTACTTGCTACTTTGGTTACATAATGGTGCCTCAGTGCCAACTATTGCCTAAGTAATAGTTAATTAGTATGCTCAGAATCATAGAAATTGATTTTTGGTCAGTACTAAAACTAGAGATTTGGTTTAGCCAAGTATCTGCTTTTGAGCAAAATGAGACATCATGATACGTTTTAAGAAATGAAAATAGTTATGCCTGTATGGTCTAAATAGAGGCAGTGTTGTCTCACATGGTATTTATGATGTACTTAAATTGAAATATGATTTTTCTTTATTATTATGATGCTTAATGATTTGAAGTATCAGTATGTACCATTTACCTTGTCTTTTTCTTAGAAACATTTGGCTACTTATTTTTAGCCAGCAAGTAAAGTAGGATATTCAATTACCCGGGGAGCCTGATACTAATGGCTATAATTATTTAAGCAATTGAAGTCTTTCCTGTCATTTTCTTTCTCAAACCCACAAGGTGCCAAGACTGAAACATGCAACGTATATACATGGATTAATATATTTTCTCAGTGGTTGCATTCTTCAATGGAGTCTCTGGAAAGAAAGACTCTTTTGTTTGCTTTTTTAATCTCTTATTTTGGAATCTGAAAACTATTCAACCCTTTCCAGAAATGTTGACCCAAATGGGGCATTTTCATGGGCAGAAAGAAATATTTTCTGCCTGCTCTTGCTTGAACAAAGAAACCTACTGATCTGGATGACATCATCATCATATTTGGCTTCTTTTCCTAGTATTATTGATGATACAGACTTTTTCGAAGGGTATGCTTAGCTGATAATTGTGAAACCCAAAACACTTGGGGACTATGACTAGCGTGTACTGATGATAGACAGCCTCATGCCATAGGAATTGCAATATTTAGACCTTTAAAATTTAGGCCCAGAGTTTGGAAAAACTTTATAACTGACTGTTACTAATAGTCTGGAGAAGGAAGAACACTTTCCATATACACTTAGATTTAAAGCATTGTTTCTGTAACTTTGTGTTTCAATATTAACTATTTCTCAATGAAACTATTTCTCAAAGCAACCTCAATCCTTCAGTTCTCTTTAGTTGTTCAGATAATCTCTTCCTAAAGAAAGCAAAAAATAATTAAGAATAAAGACCCTGCTCTTCCTTTTGAGTGTTACGGTGTGAAAGAGAGTTTTAGAGACTGGGATGTTGTCTCTGCTGAAAAACCTAACTATGTGAATAAGACCTAAGAGTAAAAAGCCATAGTCACAAATGAAATTTGCCTCAGGCGCATGTTACTGAATTGCCTTTATCAGCATGTGAAATTACTTGAAAGTCATTTTGATTTTGTAAAAGAATGTCTGGCCTTAATAAGAGTGAACATTTGTTAAGCACTTACCATGAACTCCTCCTTCTCAAACTGACAAGCATATACACATTGTCTCATTGACAGTAACTCCATAAGGTATATAGTATTATTCTAATTCTTCTTTACAGATGAAATTGAGGGAGGAGAGTTTATTTGCTTTACCTAAGGTCACAGAGTAAGTGGCTGTGCTAGGATTTAAACTTAGATTTGCCTGACACTGAAAATAGTGCTATGAACAACTGTAAAATATTGCTTTATATTTACTCTTTAGCAGAACTTAGATGATGGGGTATTATGTGCTTGCATTTAGTTTTGAATGGTTTGTTTTTATCTCTTTCCTTAAAACAAAAGTTAACAAGAGACTTTCTGAAGTCTTATTTTTTATTCAAACTGTTTTTTGTATCCCTTCCTTGTTCCATGACCCTGTTCTTTTACCTGCATGCCCTGAACATGGAGCTAACGGACCACCAATTTTGTCTCTTTATTACTATAACCAGCGAATATTCATAGATAGAGGCTTTTCTGTAAGCTTCTGGATGTTATAAGCTCTCAATCAGTAGTACTGGAGTGGGTTTGTTTCTTAAATAAAGAGATAAAGCCTAGGTTTGTGAGAGCTGGTTCTATTTGGACCAAAGCATGATCAGAAGGTGTTTTAGTAACAGAATTGAGCTGAGCCTCACAACCTAGGTTGTTCTATTGAGAAAAGAAGTGTGAACAAAACCTTTGTAGCTAGAATCACATGGATTGATTTGGGGGTGTTTTGCTGAAAAGTGGTTGACAATAACATGTAAAAATTAGTGCATTCTTCAGGACTCTTTATATTGCAAGGGGCAGCAATCCAAAATAGCTTTGGCCAAAAAGTTAACTTATTTCCTCAAATAATTGAGAAAAATCTGTGAGTTGACCTGGTTTCAAATGTTGCTCAATGGTGGCCCAAATTCAGCTGGTCTCAGGTCCTCTTTTCTACTTTATTGCCAGGCACATTTATCCAATATGGTGACCTCCAGCAGTTCCAGGCTTACATCATTCTTACAGCAACAAGTGTTATTGCAAAGATAGCCTTTTGCCAGTTAATTCCAACAACTCTATGAAAATTGAGTTGTATAGTTCATCCTTGAACCAATTACTCTCACCAAGGGAATTACATGCTAGCTTGTGGAGCTGGAAACAGGTGGTTGTCAAACCAGTACAGGACACATGGACCAAGAGTAGGAGAGTAGTTTACTAAAGCAAAAAAAGTGAAACAAAAAACAAATTAAAAAACCGCATAGGTCCACTACAGTCAGACAGAAAGAAGAGGCAGCCAGGATTCAAGCCAGGAGCAAAATTTCCTTTGAAGGAAAGGAAACAATGTGGCCAAAAGTGGGTAGTCTAGGTGAATAGCAACAAGGCATATACATGCCAATTAAAGCTCTTTTCTTAAACACAATTACTTCCAGTTTAATACTGGATGCAATACTTAAGTTATCTTTACAAAACTGGAACTGCATTTTTAAAAAGTGCTTTTATTTTTTGGCACAAAGTTCTATATACTAATCTATACTATACTATATACTGTACTATATACTATCTATACTATATGATATACTAATCTATATATACACTAACCTATACTATATATATACTAATCTATACTATATACTAATCTATACTATACTGTATACTAATCTACACTGTAAGATTGCATATTTAATTCAGTCATTATCAGAGAAACTGAGTTTTCCTCTGACCATATGCCTTTCTGATTCAAAAGGTTAAAAAGGATAAAGATGTATAAAGTAGCACACACAATTTTATGAAATCAGATAACATCTGTGAATTACCCTGTGTATACAAAATACATGTGTATACAAATATGTGTGTGCATATATACACACATGTATATGTGTGTATGTATGTATGTTTGTGTCCGTGCACACACATGAGGCTGGGGAAGGACAACGAGTGAAGTCTAGGGAAAAAAATCACTTTAGAGGTTCAACTGCAAATCTGAAATTCCTCACGTTGATTATATGAAATATTGTCTTTTTTGTTAATTAATTAATCAATTACTCTTGCCTGAATTTGAAATTCAAATGATACCTGGTCTTATTTTACCTATAGATAATTTAATGCACAGAGATAAATATGTTAACCTGTTTTGTCTCCTCTCCTCTAGTGGAAAAATTGTGGAGACTATTAATTAAGGAATTGAACACATTATGTTTCTCTACCAGCTACTAAAAATAAGCTGAGAAGTCTCTAGTTACATTTGGCCCAAAGTGAGATGATGAGAAAGGACAGCAAGCTGGTGTGGGACCCGGATAAACAGCAGGGGAGAGTGACTCAGCCCTCTGGTTCCCAGCTTCAGCAGGGATCTGTGAATATGAGTGAGCCCTTCAGTTTTTAATGGGTCTTTAGGCAGAAATACGTAAAGAACCAGAAAACTTTTTTTTTCTTAAGATAAAAGATAGGCATCATTAATATCTTTTATTTTTGTTGCTTAGCTATTGTGTTCTTTTGGAAACCACCACAATTTAACTGCAAGACCAACATTTCCTCATTATATGTAGCCTGCTGGGTCTGCCCCAGCTATCTTTTTCTCCCTTATCTAAGGGGTGAGCATAAAACCTGAACTAAGCTTGTGAGGTACACCCCCTTCTCTGGAATTTGTAACCTGAGCCAAATAACTTACGGACTGAAAATAGAAGTGAACTGACTGGTGGAGAGACACATCTGTTCCCACCACCTGAAACCAGGAAGCCTCTCTGGTTCATGATTGCTGAGCCTGCTTCCTCAGGCCTACCTTTTGTTTTGTGAGCTACCCCAAAGCCTTCCAAGAAACCTCTCTTCTTCCTGCATAAACCAAGAAGGCCTGGCTGTCCTGTGTTTTCTCTCCTCATCATCGGGGTGAAGAGAGAAGCTCAGGAACATCTCCAGCTCCCATGCTTCACATTCTACAACTCACACAGCCTTCGGGCTTTGAAACCGTTTGGACTCACTTAATTATCCCTTTTTTATTTTTGCTTATGGTAATCACCCCAAGAGCTCTCACACTTTGAGGTCAATCTCCATCTCCCACATTCTACTCCCCATAGGTTCTTGTACAACCTAATCCTAATGCTGAAAACATGAGATCCCAGAATTCACGTCCACTCAGTGCAGTGACTCTTGGCCCACATTCTGTAGATAAGAAACACCTTTTACTGACAATGGAAAGACTGCTAGAAATAACTTGAGATACCCAGGCATAGTCTTATATTATGTTGGGGTTTTATAATGTAAATGCAAGAATCAGATTTCTCCATACCCCAGCCAATGATTAAGCTTTATGGAAGACTGGTTTAGGTTTTTCTGATCTGTAAAGGCAGACTAAAGGCTGCAGTACATGGTGGCCTTCACTCAGGCATTTCAATCTGTCTGCACTGAACACTGAGACACTAGTACCTTAGTCCACAATGGGAATAAAATGCACATGCAGGTGATGTTAATCTACATGAAAGATGCTGAATTCCATAACAGAAAAAAAAATTACATGTGTGTGTAATATGAAAGAATTAAATAACTTCAGTAAGTACATTCTATCTGTACCCTTGTCTTTTATAAGGGTAACTGTATATAAGTTAAACTAGAAATTTTATTTTTAAGGGGTCCCATTTCAAACCATAAGTGCTTTAAACAGCAATTATCAGCTAAATTTTCCTGCTGGCAGCATTACTAGAGATATGTTGTTTCTGGGCAAAGTTATCCAGAGGAATCCTGCTCCCTCGTATTTTGGAGGAGTTGAGTTTCATAGCATGTGATAATTACCCATTTTTACCAGTTGAGTCCAAGTTGCAACTCATAAGGCTGCTACAGTGTATTTCTAAGTATTGTTTAAATTGGAACTTTAACCTTTTATCCTGGGAAATGATTGGTTTTGTTTTTAATCTCTTCTTAGTGGATTCTGTTATTGCAGAGAGCGGTATCAGTAGAGATTGATATTTTTGTAGGTTAGCTTCAGTATACCACATGAAATACATCCAATGCTCATAAATGAGGCTTTTATTCAAATTCTTAATCAACTTGCATTTTTTGTGCCCTATGAAGGGTATTTGCTAAATAATGCACATTGGAATTCAAAACCCTGGAAAATTCTTGTTTAAAACCAGTGGTACATCTCAGCAAACTGGGTGGAGACTGAGGGCAACACTCAAGATAAAATTTAGCATGGCAGCAATTTAAAATTAGAAGCCCTTGATGAAAGATGAGACCTGTTTTAGGCCACTTGGTGAGCCCCACCTTTTAAAGGCAGGATTTGACTCCACTGAAGAGCTGAGCAGTCACGGGAGGACAGACTGTCTCTGCCCCAATAGGGAATGCCTATCTTCCGATTTGGTGTGTGACGGTGTTAAATAAAGCTGTGACCTTTGTTTATCTCCCAAGCATTTCCACCCCTCCACTGGCAGAATGCCATGGGAGAGTGTCCATTTATCGGCAAGCTGTGGTCTAAATTCAGATACTGTCTAAAGCTTATAACAATAAGTGTCTACTGTATATACTGTACAGAGATGCTTCACCTGAGCCCTTATACATTACATGTTTCATGAAGTTCTAGCTTAAAGAAGTCCCTTTAATATTTATTTAAATAACAGCCTGAAATAGGCCATGAGTAAAAATACTCAGGTCTCAGTATCAATATATATAATGTTTCTGTTACCTCTTAAAGGCAAATTTTTTAAAAAGGAAAGTTCCTCAGTAAGAGCAGCTTATCAGCTCGCTTCTTTAAGGTAAAAGGAGGGATACTTAAGGTGTACATTTTTCAGAATTTTTAGATATGAGTTAATGATAGAAACATACTTTGACTTGATCACATGATGGTTACACGACGATATGTGTTTGTCGAAACTCAGAACTATACACCAAAAAGAGTGGATTTTGCTATATGTAAATTGTACCTCAATAAATTCAGGTTAAAGAGACAGCTCTGCTAAATAGAAACGTGTGTCCTAGATTTAAATGCTTTTATTTGTCTTATGGTTTATATATAAATTTCCTTCCTACCCCTATCCTATTCATGGAGAATAAATCCTACGCACACCCTATGTGGGTGGGCCACCCTACATGTCACATGATTCTGACCTAGACAATTTATTGGATCAAATGTAAACATCTAACTGGTCAACCTGGATGTGAAACCAAGACAGACCAAAATTCTAAAGTCTTGGAGATTTGCGGCCAGAGTCAAAATATGCTCTCCAAAAGCCATGGTTAAGTGAGAGTTATGAGGAGCTGCAAAAATGAGTTATGCAAAAGAAGCCAATCAGAAGGAAGGAGAATTGAGCAGGCAGACAGAGAATCATTGAGCCAGCGTCCCTTTCTCGTCATGGAAAGGGAGATGAGCATAGTACCTTGATGATATTCTAGTTTCCCAGAGGCCTAGCTGAACTTATAATTGAATTATCTGACTTTCCCCTACAGATCTACTTTTACTTAATATAGCTGGTGTGAGTTCTAGTTTTCATGAAAAGACAGGAAAATTACCCAATGACATTTAATGTTCTTAATCCCAAATCACAGGCAAATATCAATGTTTTGCTAGCACCACCACTTTAATTCCTAAAGTAGAAGGAGTAGAAGGCTGTAGTAGTGGGAAGGAAGAACATAATCTTACGGAAGTCTGGGTTATTTCTGTGAGCTCAGTTTTCACCTGAAAATTTCAGACCTTTTAAAGAAAAAAAAAATCAAATACCTTCTAAGGACTAAGTTAACACATAGCCTGGTCTTTTTCTTTTCTTTTCTTTTCTTTTTTTTTTTTTTTTTTTTATGAGAAAGTTTTGCTCTCATTGGCCAGGCTGGAGTGCAATGGGAAGATCTTGGCTCACCGCAACCTCCGCCTCCCGGGTTCAAGTGAATCTCCTGCCTCAGCCTCCCACGTAGCTGGGATTAGAGGCATGTGCCACCACACTTGGCTAATTTTGTATTTTTAGTAGAGACACGCTTTCTCCATGTTGGTCAGGCTGGTCTCGAACTCCTGACCTCAGGTGATCCACCCGCCTCGGCCTCCCAAAGTGCTGGGATTACAGGTGTGAGCCACCGCACCCAGCCAGTCTTTCTTTTTTTCTTCCTTCTCAGTTATTTAGGTATAGAAAAGGTCAAATAGAATAACAATTATTGATTCTACCTCCTTATATTAATAAAATTATTCTGTTTGTGAGAAAATTATTTTACCTCTACTTTCACACTGCATTTTTATTTTTGTTTTTATTTTTAGTGCTGGGGCACATGTGCAGGATGTGCAAGTTTGTTACATAGGTGGACGTGTACCATAGTGGTTTGCTGCACCTATCAACCCATCACCTAGGTATTAAGCCCAGCATGCATTAGCTATTTTTTCTAATATTCTCCCTCCCCCCACCCTACCCCACATTCCATTTCTGATGACTGATATATTTAAAAAAACAGAAAGGTCACTTCTTCTGAATACTATAGTATAGCTTTTAAAAATAATTATAGCCAACTTGAATTAAGTGCTTAAATATGTGGTATTCATTGCACTCAGAGCCCTGAATACATTATTTCATTTAATCCTGATAATCTTATGAAGTAGTTGCCATTATTATCATGATTTTACAGATAATAAGCCTTCATGAGTTAAGATAGATACCTGTAGCTCTATGGTAGTAAGTTTTTACACCTGAATTTGATACCAAACAGACCTACTTCTGAGTCTGATCTCTTAATCACAACAAAGAGTATATGCAACAAGAAGTATGTATGTTTTACAGCTAAGGAAGTAATCATAAGGTAATTGTTGGATTTTAGTTAGTTTTCTGAATATCTTTTCTAACTAGAGAGACAGTTATATCTACGGTTAAGAAAATGTGGTACATCTTACTGAATCAGTACTAAATCAATACTAAATGTGTAACATTATCATTGTGCTATATTTAAAAGGTTGATATATTGTAGCACTTTAATGAATACAATATGAAAAACCATTTCTGTTTATGTTCATGTGAGAGTATAAACTATGTATTTGAGAACACTCAGCAACTGTGGCATAACAGAATATCCCAAAAGTTAATGAACCAACTGAGGAGTGTTAAGTTATTCATGCACATCAAACATGTCATTTTCTCTTGCCTTTTTAATTGGTTAAGTATGTCAGAGTTTGAAAGAGCTTCATTAATAAGGTCATGGTATTTGGTTTTAAAATAGAATAAAATAAATGAGGGATTACACTTTTGTTTAGAAAAAATGAGATAGTATCTTTCATTGTAAAATCTGGGACCTAGGAGGAAAGGAAACCACATAGTTATGTAAGTAGCCATGCAGGCCAAATTTGGCCTTACATGTGGGTAGGACATGGAACTGTTGGTTGAAGAAAAACTCTTCTGTACTGTCAACTGGAAGTCTTGGGATGGGAAACCTGTATTTGGAAAGCTGACTTTTTCAAACAGTGGCTGTATTTTCAGTAAATATTTCAAGAATTCTTTTTCTGGTTTTTAATAAAGTTCTCTGTTTTAAAATGTCAGGCTCTTTCAAGCATGCTGGGTTAGTCTGTTTTGCATTGCTGTAAAGGAATATCTGAGGCCGGATAATTTATAAAGAAAAAAGGTTTATTTTGGCTCATAGTTTTGTAGACTGTACAAGAAGCATAGTGCTGGCATCTGCTTCTGGTGAGGGATTCAGGAAGCTTCCAATCATAGTGGAAGGTGAAGGGAGAGCAGGCAGTGTCACATGGCAAGAGAGGGAGCAAGAGAGAGGGGAAGAAGTACCAGGGTCTTTTAACAATCAGCTATTTTATGAACTAATAGAGTGAGAACTCAGTCACTGTTGTGGCAGGGCAGTGGGCAGAGGGCACCAAGCCATTTATGAGGGATCCACCCCCATGACCCAAACACCTCCCACTATGCCCCATCTACAGCAGTAGGGGTCACATTTCAACATGAGATTTGATGAGAACAAATATCCAAACCATATCACATGCTAAGGGGAAACATGCTTAAGGAAAAGTAAAAGGAAGAGCATCATGTTACTTTGAGAATTGGTGTTGTAATTCCAGAGAGAAGGAGCAGCCAAACCTGGATGAGAAGCAACAATTTTAGCAAAGACTCAACTATAATATAGCACCTGTCTAGCCATTTCTGCTTACAGAAAAATTCCTCTGCATAGCTTAGTCTCCAAAAACAGTCAGTGGAATATAGTTTTTAAACTGGCCTTTTGTTATATCCGTGTTAGGAGAGCAGATAATGTAAGTGATTGGTACATATAACTCAGGCTGTCTCCTGATTTGTACAGTTTGCCTTTTTCCATTTATTCTATAAAGTTAAGAGATAGTCTTTGGTTTTTGAAGAAAGGAGTTTTTATTTTGTAGCATATTTTTTAATTGTTTGTCATTCTTCAGATATACTCAGTTTTATGGAAGAATTTGATTGTGTAGCAATGGTAGCAGACAGTAGCTCAATGCTATTTTCTGCCAAAGGACAGGACATGCCTCTGCAAATTGCTCTTCACTGCATTAGATGTGGATTTTTTTACTCTTAACCTTCTCTGTTAAAATCTTACGATGACTTTTAAAATTTGCAAGTGTTTAGGGGAAGAAATGAGAAGAAAGAGCTTTGGCTACATCTATGTATTGTTAAAGTTATCTCTTTAGCTCTGTGAAAAACTGCTTATTTACAAACTTGAGTAAAATTTCTGGTTTAAGATATCATATTTAAACTGTAACATAAAATCCAATGGCACACTTTCCCCCATACCTACCAAACGAGCAAAACTAGCTGAAACATTTTCATTTTGAACTGATATGAACCCAATAGGGAATGAGGGATAACTTAAAGCAATACACTTGAAAAACTTGTCTCCAGTATAAAAAACAAACAATTCCGAGATGGAACAGAGTGAGTGGCACAGTGTGGCTTGGTCATTAACCTACTCTGTAATTCTAGAGCTATACAACTGAGTTGACCCAATCCTGACAATTCTCACAAATAACCAAATATGTAGAGAGACATTCTTAGTGAGTCCTTTTTCTTTTTCTCTTCTGGCCAACAAGAATTAGAAACAGAGTCCCAGGATACTTGAATAAAGGGGGAAATGTGAACAAAGGGGCTGACTATGACAGGATTGAATGGACATTTCATTGCTGGGAAAATGATCCGAAATATTAAGATACTGTTCCTTGGGAACAGAATATCTTTCTTCAATGAAGTGGGTTGAACCCTGGTACAAAGCATCTAATTTAAACGACTTTTAGAGTGGAGCTCAAGTATTCTGACAAAAACACAATACCAATACTCAGCCAGATTCTGCAACCATCTTCCTCCTGTCAGTCTTTCAAGCTATAGAAGGATGGTAGGACTGTGAAACTCCTAGCATTCCATATGTGGCTCATAGTGGTGGAAAAGCATATGATGTTATTTATGGAAGGGAAAGACTTAAATCAGGTGCACTCTTTCATGACAAATACAGAGTCTTGTCTGAAATGTCCAAACACATGGAACATGGGGAAAAATATGCCATGGCACAACATTTATGCAAATAATTATACAAGCTTATTAGATCTAAAAAAAAAAAATAGTATACGAAGAGCCCAAAGGAAAAAACTGTAACACAAATGAGCCAAAGAAAATCTCACAGTTGTGTCACATTAAAGAACCACTCACTAAGGACACATATTCAATAAAGAGTGAGCTCAAAGCCTAGAAAATAAAAGGTATATCGTATGTGTGAGAAAACAAATCGAGGGCCAAGCTAACATCATTATTGAACTAGTAACAGACAAAATACAAGGCATTTGATAAACAGTACTGATTATGTAATTAGTGACAGTGAGAAGACTTATGATCAGTATAGTGTATGTGGATGAAGGAGGGGGAGAATGGAGAGTTTTAGAGAATCTAATGTCTATGGAACAGAGCTAAAGCTAATTCAACATAAGGGTAATTGGTGTTCCTGAATAGAGAACCCAAAATATGGAACAACATATGTAACTCAAGAGAACTTTTACAAAATGAAGAAAGATTGAATCTGTATATCGAAAGAACACAACATATTCCAGGAAATTTTGAATCAGAACATGAATCTGAGAGATGTTCTAGTTAAGCTGATAAACTTTTAAGATTATGGAAAGAATTCTTTACGCATCCAGGCAGCAAGATGCTATCTAATGAAAACCACAGCAGTAAAAATTCTCAAATGTGAAAACCAAAACCCCAAAGTAAAGAATTCATTGGACTCTTCCTGGGGGGAGGGGAAGGAGAACTAACAAAAAACAAAATACAAATCAATGAAAGTAAATAATTTATTAATGAAAAACCTGTGGTAAAACGATTGGCTATGAGCATTTAATCCTCTTTGAAATGAAATGAATACTAAACAATTCTGGGAATTAGGAAAACCAAGAGAATGTGAATGTATAAATCTAGGCAGTTTCACAATTATAATTAACAAAAATAGGGAAATGAGGGAGGGGAATTAGAAGGGTGCATGAGAATGCTAATGTCTTCATCTTTTGTTGAAGGCAGGATGTCAGTTGGTACCGTCTAAATTAAAACATGTAGTTAACAAATTATTCTAGCCTCTTAATTTTTTTTCAAAATTCTCTTTTAAAAAAAATTTAAAGTGATCTTCTGAGAAATACATCTGCAGTTAAAAAGTATTTTTAAGGTTCACTTTGTTTTTTCTATTAATTTTAAATTGAGTTAAACTTAATGCTCAGTAAATTAAGATTAATAATCATACGAGTTTGTTTTTTTAATGTGTATGTTTCTATCGTCTGTATACCCTTCTGTGTACTTGTGTGTGGGCACATGCACACACACACACTCTTCTAGATTACTGTCTGATTTGATCTTCTAATATTGATGATTATTTCTGTTTTGGATTTAAGATAGCTTTTTCTTCTTTTTGCTTTCATTTTTATACTATTCTTCATTGTTTTAAGTCTCTATACTGAGAATATCTTATTTTCATTAAAGTAATTCTGACTGTTTAAAAAGGTGAGGGGTTGGTAAAGGAGATTAGAAGCAAACGTGCCAATAAGTTAATGGGACTAAACATCGGAGATCTGTGAATGTAGATTTTCAGTCTATTATGTGTTTTTTAATGTCAAAAATAAAAAATATTTTCAGGGGCCAGGCGTGGCAGCTCATTTCTGTAGTCCCATCTATTCAGGAGGCTGAGGTGAGAGGATTGCTTGAGACAAGGAGTTTGAGGATGCAGTGAGCTATGGGATCTTGTCACTGCACTCCAGCCTGGGTGACAAGAGGGAGAACCTCTGTCTAAATATATATATTAAAAGAGCTTAATAAGTGATGACCGAGTATTTTCTAACTTTAGCTAGAAGATACTTATAAAAAATATGTGAGGCTTCTCTTTTAAAAAATAGCAATATAGTTTATGCTTCAAATTCCTACTTACTAGGAAGTCAGTAAGCAAAAAAAAACTTTACATAACTAAAATATTTGCCAACAAATATATTCACTGAGGCTCATGCACTTTATTCCACAAAGACTCTCAGGCCCTTCATCAGAACACATCGCTTTCATGCATTTTAACAGGTTTTATAATCTAATGTCCAAGCATTTAGGCAATTAGAAACTGGAAATTAAAGGGGAGAAATACAGACCAAAAAAGACAAAGACATAGATACACTGATTGCAATAACAAGAAGAATAAAGAGCTGACTGACTGAGGGTTTAAATGAAGCACAGCAAAGAAATTAGAGCTACAAAAACATTGTGGTTTGACAGGACTTGGTGAGGGGCCAAATATTTCTACTAACCTCTGTAGTTCTTAAGCACCAAAAACTGCATAACACAGAATTGTATAATCATAATTATGATCCGGGGTCTTTAAGAAAATTATATTTTGCATATTTAAGAATTCAGAGAAATTTAAAGTATATTTTGTTGTAGCCATCAAAATTAATTAAATAAAGTTTTGGAGCTCAAAGGAGCTTTTGTTATTTTGAAAAATAATTTAAGAAAATAGCCCTGTCCCTAATGATACCAAGTGAATGAGGTGTTTCTTTAATTGTTTTACATTTTGTTGCATAAAACACTGCAATTTATCATACAGACACATAATATTAGTTCTTCTATTGTCTTTCTATCCATGGAGTGGATGGTAATCTTCAAATAAATAATTACCCTTCTTTTTAAGTTCCTTAAGACAGCAAATGAGTAGAATAAACCCCCTCACTTCTGTAGTTTAACAGCCTACATTCTCCAGAGGGGAAAAGTGATTACATTTACTACCTGAGTTTTGTGGAGCTATAAATATTACTGTAGAAAGCCTAATTGGCTGTTAAAACTTGAAGAAGTGAGTGCACAGATGCTGTGTTCATTTTTTTTCTTCAACTGATTTCACCATATGCTGCTGACAAAGGAAGACTTACCCTGGTAAAACTGGGCTTATAAGACCTCCTGGAGTTCTCAAATTCAGCAGTGACAGTGTCTGTCTGCTGCCTATGGGATTAATGTTTTCATTTATGTGTTCTCTAGCCATTTGGAACACATATGTAACATTTAACAGAGTCTGAGAGTTGGCAAATATGCCTAGCATTTTTCCACTGACGTCAACAGAGAAAAATGTTGTTCTCAATAAGATCTGTCCAGTGAAGCACTTTAGTCAAAATCTAACTAAGAGCTGAGGCTTATCTTGCTTCACAGCTTCCTTATAATGTAGACATATGGTTGAAAAGAACATTTAATGATTGCATGGCATTAAAAGTGAAAAAGAAGTATCTCAGTTTGTAAACCAAAACTCAAACTTGGAAATAAGCTTTGCCTAAATGCAGTGAGGAATCAGGCTTTTGGGTTCTAATACTAGCCCTTTTCCTTCGTGACTGATGACCTTGGAAAGATTATCCCACTATTCTGTGCTAAAATAGATTATTTCAACAGTCCTTTCTGAGCTCTAAAACCTCATAATTTATTTAGATGCTATTTATGGAATCAAATATATTTTTAATCAGAGAAATGCCCTGATTGCACTGCATTGAACAATAACCATGGCAGCAATGTGAAGAATATATTTGTAGAAAGGAGAGGTGAATTGGGAGATTGATTAGGAGGCTGTCTAGTAATTTATGTGAGACACGGTGAAGCACTGAACTCTGTGGGATAGGGAATGAAGAAGAGGGGATCAGGTCCAGGAGTATTTTGGAGACAGAATGTGGCAAAAGGTGGTAAACCACTGGATGCCACAGTACGGAACTGAAAGTGGAGCTAAGGATTTAGCGTGATTGGTGCACGGGTAGGAGTTGTGATATAAGAATGTAGATTAAAATGAATATATTTTGCGTACCCTGAAATGCCTTCAGAATGTCCATGAGACATCTACTGAAGATAGTTAAAAGGTAAGAGAGTAATAGGTGGAGAGAGAATGAGGGTAGACAGGGATATTGATGAGAGACTCTCACTTATGGGCAGATGAGAAGAAGCCAGTGAAGAAGTAGATAGTAAAAACACAGGCAAAAGGTGGGGGAGTCAGGGAGAACTGAAGAGTAAAGCTCTGAAGAGCAGGAACAAACTAAGATCGGAAATGAAGCCTTTGATCTTCAAGGAGGAAGCCTTCTTTCTTTTAGGTAGGAGGGAAGGAGGAAATAGTAAGTGAGAATTTACATCAGTTCAAGGTGTGCACTGGAAAATGTATGGAAGTAGTTTTATAAAGCCTCTTTATTTGTTATCTGGAGGCTTCTGGTTGCCTTATTATACAATGCCTGAAGGTTATACTTGGATTCATTATTCAATTAACTGTTGCACCCACGTTTTTGGTATTTCCTTGCCTCTTCACCTGCAGATTCTGTCAACAGACCTAGTGTGCTTTATTGGAATATCCAGAGTAGGCCATGTGGGCTGAGTTTAGTCGAAGAAATGGTTGATGATTTTTTAAAAACTTTCATGTCATGTTCGTTCCCAAAAGGAGAGCATCAGTACTAAAATGCTCAGGAAAATCAAAACATAATTGTAGCTTCTGAATAAGTTAATTTTTAAAAGATTACCTCAAACAACAAACAACCCAGCTCTTGATATAAAATCTGGTGACTTAGAGATTGTATGTGTGTGTATGTGCATGTATGTGTGTACACACAAAACACATGTTTTGTTGTTTGGAGTTTTTCTTTCCATTTTTATTTTAGGTTTGGGGGTACATTTGAAGGTTTGTTACATAGATAAACACGTGTCACTGGGATTCGTTGTACACGCTATTACATCACTAATGTATTAAGTCCAGTCCTCAATAGTTATTTTTCTTCTCCGCTTCCTCCTCCCACCCTCCTTCCTCAAGTAGACCCCAGTATCTGTTGTTTCCTTCTTTGTGTTCATAAGTTCATATCTTTTAGCTCTCACTTATAAGTGAGAATATGTGGTGTTGAGTTTTCTGTTCCTGTGTTAGTTTGCTAAGGATGGTAACCTCCAGCCCCATCCATGTTCCCACAAAAGACATGATCTTGTCCTTTTTTATGGCTGCATAATATTTCGTGGTGTATATGTACCACATTTTCTTTATCCAGTCTGTCATTGATGGGCATTTAGGTTGATTCCATGTATTTGCTTTTGCTGGGTCGAATGGTAGTTCTGCTTTTAGCTCTTTGAGAAAACACCATACTGCTTTCCACAATGATTGAACTAATTTACACTGCCACCAACAACGCATAAGGGTTTCTCTTTCTCCCCAATCTCCCCAGCATCTGTTATTTTTTGACTTTTTAATAATAGCCATTCTGACTGGTGTGAGATGGTATCTCATTGTGGTTTTGATTTGCATTTCTCTATTGATCAGTGATATTGAGCTTTTTTTCATATAATTGTTGGCTGCATGTATGTCTTCTTTTGAGAAGTGTCTGTTCATGTCCTTTGTGTTTGGTTTTTTTTTTTAAATAAAAATTTCATTCCAGTGTACCAAATTAAAATTGCCACCAGTAAATACTTTAAGCATCCTTTCCTGTGTATGAGATTAGGCCCTTTTTACCATATTTTTTAAATCTTATAAATAGTCTCAGAGGGCTTTTAATGTAAAATAATGATTGAAGGTCAATCAATCCTTGTCAGCTAATGATATGTTTCTAGGTACTTTTCCCTTTCCTCAACATTTTTATCAACACAATTCTTATGTAAATGAGTTCTATTTAAACAGTTTAGTCTGGTTTAGTAAGGTATCCTGTAGAAAGGAAGAATGTGTCAACTCTGGAAGTTTAGCACAACCCTATTCTTTTAAAATAACAAATAGTGAAACACTTCCTTTTTTTTTTTATGAAAACTGTTTTCATGTTGCAGGGTTTTACCCATCTTCAAGTAAAATAATCTTTCAGGAATTAGGCCCAACATGTCTCTCTACATAAACAAGATTGATGTTGGCTCTTGAAGTTTTTCGAGAGTATGTTGTTTGAGTTAATTGAATTTATTGTCTCCAAATTGGTTTTCACACTTCTCTAGTGCAGTCTGTATTCTGTTAATTAAATTTATGAAACTCGTGTCTCACATTGAAAGAATATAATACAGATAGATAACTAGACTCCCAGATAGACAGCTAGTTATAGACAAATTTTTTAGCCTCCTCAGTAGCTGGGATTACAGGTGCTTACCACCATGCCCAGCTAATTTTTTTATTTTTTAGTAGAGATGGGGTTTTGCCATGTTGGCCAGGCTAGGCTTGAACACCTGACCTCAGGTGATCCACCCGCCTCGGCCTCCCAAAGTGCTGGGATTACAGGCGTGAGCCACCGCGCCCAGCCGAGTTTGACTTTTTTAAACTGCACATTATAAGTTAGATCATGCAGTATTTATCTTTCTGTGCCTGGCTTTTTTCTTTTAACATAATATCCTCTAGGGCCATCCATGTTTTTACAAATAACAAGATTCCCTTCTTTTTAAAGGCTGAATAGTATTCCATTGTCTTTATATGCCATATTATCTTTATCCACACATCTGTTGATGGACACTTAGGTTGATTTCTTGGCTATTGTTAATGCTGCAGTGAGTATGGGAGTGAAGACATCTCTTCAACGTATTGATTTTATATCCTTTGAATATATACCCCATAGTGGAATTACTGGATTATATGGTAGTTCTATTTTTTAAATTATTGAGGCACTGTCACACTATTTTCCATAATGGCTGTAGTAATTTACATTCCCACCAGTAGTGTACCAGGGTTCCCTTTTCTCCACATCCTCACCACTTATCTTTTGTGTTTTAGATAGTAGTTGTTCTAACAAGTGTGAAGTGATATTTTATTGTAGCCTTAATTTGCATTTTCCTGATGATTAGTTATGTTGAACATTTTTTCATACACCTGTTGGCCATTTGTATGTCTGCTGTTGACAAATGTCTATTCAGGTCCTTTGTCCATTTTTTAATCAGGTTATTTGTTTTCTTACTGTTGAGTTGTTTGTTTCTTATATATTTTGCGTATTAACCTATTATCAGATGTATGGTTTGCAAATATATTCTCTCATTCTCTAGGTTGTCTCTTCACTCTGTTGATTGTTTCCTTTTTTGAGCAGAAGCTTTTAAGTTTCATGTAATCTCATCTATTTTTGCTTTTGTTGTCTGATCTTTTGGGTGTCATATTTAAAAATTCATTGCTCAGACCTATGTCAAGGAGCTTTCTCCCCGTGTTTTCTTCTAGTAGTTTTACAGTTTTAAATCTTACATTTAAGTCTTTAATCTATTTTGAGTTGATTTTTATATGTAGTGTAATATGAATGTCTAATTTCATTCTTCTGCATGTGAATATCCAGTTTTTCTGGCACCACTTACTGAAGAGACTCTCTTTTTCCTCCTTATGTATTCTTGGCATCTTTGTTGAAAATTAGTTGACCATAAATGTATGTATTTGTTTCTAGGCTCTCAGTTCTCTTCTATTGGTCTGTGAATCTGACAATATGCCAGTAACTCTGCTGTTTTGATTACTATACCTTTGTAATAGAATTTGAAATCAGATAGTGTGATGCTTTCAGCTTTGTTCTCTTTGCTCAAGATTGCTCTAGCTGTTTGAGGTTCCATACACATTTTAGTATTTCATGGTTGCATACAAATTTTAGTATTGTTTTTTCTATTTCTGTGAAAAAAAATACTGTTAGAATTTTGGTAGGGATTGCATAGAATCAGTAGATCACTTTCATTAGTATGAACTTAATTAAACAACATTAATTCTTCCAATCCATGAACAGAGGATATATTTCCATTTATTTGTGTTGTCTTCAATTTCTTTTATCAATGTTTTATAGAATTCAATGTACATATCTTTCATCTCTTTGCTCAAATTTATTCCTTTTTGTAGTTATTGTGAATTAGATTGTTTTCTGGATTTTTTTCATATACTCTGTTGTTAGTATATTGAAATACTACTGATTTTTGTATGCTGATTTTGTATCCTGCAACTTTACTAAATTTGTTTATTAGCAGAACTATATTCTTAATCATCTCGATTATATTCACCATAAAGAGTAAAACAAGAATAAACTTGCTTCACTGTAAAATACTTATAATCTAAAGGAATCGACTCATATGTTTATATTTGCTACAAATGGATTTTTCTAAATTACAACAACATAAAAGCCAATTTAATGTTTTTGTAGAGATATTATTCTTAAGAGGGTAGAATTGCATGAATTCTGACCTTTGGGGAAGATCTTGTATGATAATGGTTTAGATTAAATATTGGCCAATTCTCTCAAATTCTTGTGTGAGATATTTAGAAGTTAATTACTTAAAAATCTGGTAACAGGTATATTGTTTTGTTTTATATTCTCTATTTAAAAGAAACTTTGAATGCATTTTTAATTAACCTCTATAGATATATACAAGTTGTACATGGTCCTTTCAGCCATTTTCCTACATTGTACCAGAATTATTAGAACAAAACTGGATATCCCATGCAAAATTTAAAAGTTGGACCCTTACCTTACACCATATGCAAAACTTAAAATGGATCAAAGACCTAAATGTAAGAGCTAAAGCTATGAAACTCTTAGAAGAACATGTAGGAGAAAAACTTTCATGACATTGGATTTGCCAACAATTTTTTTGGATATGACACAAAAGCACAAGCAACAAAAGAAAAAATAGATACATTGAACCTCATCAAAATTAAAAACCTTTTATGCATCAAAGGACACAATCAAGAGAGTAAAAATATGGGCTAGGCACAGTGGCTCAGGCCTCTAATCACAGCACTTTGGGAGGCAGAGGTGGGAGAATCACTTGAGGTCAGGAGTTTGAGACCAGCCTGGGAAACATAGCAAGACCCTGTCTCTACAAAAAGAAAAATTAATGAAAAGATAACCTATAGAATAGGAGAAAATATTTGCAAATTATACATCTAGTAAGGGGTTAATATCCGGAATATATAAAGAACTTCTGTAACTTAACAACAACAAAAAAGCAATTAAAAAATGAGTAAAAGGCTTGAATAAACATTTCTTCAAAGAAGATATACAAATGACCAATAAGCCCATAGAAAGACACTCAACATTACTCATCATTAGAGAAATACACATCAAACCACCGTGAAATAGTACTTCACACCCACTAAAGTGACTATTATAAAAACAAAACAAACAAACAAACAAAAGATGGAAAGTAACAAGTGTTGGCCAGGATATAGAGAAGTTGGAACTCATGTAGGTTGCTGGTGGGAATGTAAAATGGCACAGCAGCTGTGTAAAAAAGTTTTGTGATTCCTTGCACAGTTAAACATAGAATTACCGTATGATCTAGCAATTTAACTTCTCAGTATATACCAAAAAGAATTGAAAGCAGGGACTCAAACAGATACTTAACAATGTTTATAGCAGCATTATTCAAAATAGCCAAAAGGTGGAAACAACACAAATGTCCATCAACAGATAAATGCATAAACAAATTGTAGCCTGTACATACGATGCAATATTACACAGCTTAAAAATGTAATGAAATTCTGACACATGCCACAACATGGATGAACCTTGAAAACATTAGGCTAAGAGAAATAAGCTAGACCCAAAAGCACAAATATTGAATGGTTCCACTTATATGAAATAATTAGAATAGGCAAATTCATAGGGAAAGACAGTAGAGTGACAGTTACCAGGTGCTGGAGGAGAGGGGGAATGGATAGTTTTGGGGTACAGAGTTCTGTTTGGAATGACCAGGAGTTCTGAAAATGGTCACACAACATTATGGTTAATGCCACTGAATTGTGCCCTTAAGAATTTTTTAAGGAGTAAATTTCATCGTGTGTGTATTTTGCCACAATTTTAAAAACATCACTTTTCCATAAAAAAATAACTAGAGACCCCTGAACATACACTGTGGACAGATTTTATTAATAAATCTTATGGTTTAAGTATCAAGCTATTGTTAATTACTTCTCCTAAGTAAATAAACCTAATACCTGGTAAAATGATGTCTAGTTATGTGGTTGCAGTATATTAACCAAGGAGGACTCGTTGTTTTGAAGCAATAATAATTATAACTAATGTTTATTGGGTACCTAGTGTGTACCTGACACTGTTATGTTCTTCAACTATTTTAGCTCTTTAATTTTACATCAATACTATTAGATACTTGTTTTAGCCATTTTATAGATTAGGACACTGAAGTTCAGAGAAGTTAAGTTATTCTTCTGAGTCACACAGCTAAATAGCTAAGTATCAAAGACAGTTGTTCTAACATAAGGTGACTAACTTCCATGCTTGTCATTTTAACCAATTTCAAATTTCATCCATATTTGCTTTGAGATACCTGAAAAATCAGACTATTTTATATAGTTTTATAAGAATTATAAAGCTTAGAAATGTAAAATTTTATGTGGGGATCTAAGATTTCCCCCTGTATAACAGGATCATAGATGTCAGATCAAAAGATCTCAGCTGGCCGGGTGCAGTGGCTCACACCTGTAATCCCTGCACTTTGGGAGGCTGCGGCAGGCAGATCAGCTGAGGTCAGGAGATCGAGAGCAGCCTGGGCAACATGGTGAAACCCCGTCTCTACTGAAAATACAAAAATTAGCCAGGCTTGGTGGCGGGTGCCTGTAATCCCAGCTACTGGGTAGGCTGAGGCAGGAGAATTGCTTGAACCCAGGAGGCAGAGGTTACAGTGAGCCAAGATTGCACCACTGTGCTACAGCCTGGGTGACAGAGCGAGACTCCATCTCAAAAAAAAAAAAAAAAAGGAAAAGAAAAGAAAAAAAAGATCTCAGTTGTTATGTTTGGGGTCTGAACATGTATAATGTTCACGGCTTGACTCTAGTCTGCTTTTTTGGTTGTTTGATCTCAGTGTTAGTGCATCTGATTTTTTTTAAGTAATTCAGTCAGTAGACGTTTATTGCATGCCTGCTATATGCATATACTCTGCCAAGTCCTGGAATACAGTAATGGACAAGACAGAACTGACATTGTAGTAGTTGAAGGAGGAGGGGATGGATAATGAGTAAATGACCAAAGAAACCCAGCAAATCATTTTAGTTCTAGTGCTATGAAGAAAACAGGGTGATATTTGGTGCGTAACTAGGGGCTGATGGCTGATTTAGAGGGTGATCGGGAATGGTTGCTATGATGTTTCAGGAGAAGAACCTAAATGTTGAGAAGATCTGTGAGTAGATATTCCACTCAGTGTGAACAATGGGTACAGCCCTGAGAAAATGTGGCTTCAATGAGGAGCAGAACAAAGGCCAGTGTGGCATGAAACATCCCAAGTCCTAGGGTGCAAGGATATGAAATAATACATGAGATAGGTGTGGGCCAGAGCTCAAAGGCCTTGTAGGCCAGAAAGAGGAATTTAGATATTATGCTGTGTGTTCTAGAAAGGTGTTGGAAGATTTAAAGATCGGAAATATGAAATAATCCGATTTCATTATACAAAGCTCTCTCTTGCTGCAGTGTGGCAAGGGATTATAGGAGGGCAGAATGGAAGTGGAGGAAAATGGATATTGGAGGAGTCAAAGAAAAAAAATGACAATGATTTGGGCATAGGTGAGAGCAGTAGAGGAGAAAACTTATGTTTCATCTTCAAAAGGTAAATTGGACTTTTAAAAATGACTGAACTCTACACATATATTGCAAAAGTACAAAGAATTGAACATTCAGAGCTTTAGGAAGATACATGGTTTTTAAAAGAAGGGGATTCCTGCTCTTTGAACTGGACCAGTATTACTAAGCTGATTCACAGTCAGAAAACAGTCTCTTTTGCTACTTTCCATTGTGAAAAAGGGAGAGACGTTTCTTCTCTTCAGCCTTCCCCCTTTAGCATGAAACTCTCCTATTCTTAGTGGCAACTGAAGATAATATTGAAAAGAAAAAATAATAACTTCACAGAATAAATAATAGAAAGTAAAACATTTTACAATGATGAAAATATGTAGAAATTCTGATTGTTATTTTAGAATATCAAATAACACCACAAAATCTTCCAAAAGTGCATCTAAACTCTGAACTCATTAATAGCCTCTACTAATTTTTTTTCTATTCTGTAGGAAAGCAGACTGTTGAGTTCAGAAAAGGCCAGGAAAGTGAATTTATCCTAGTTTTCTGTCTTTTCTCCATGTTTCAACATTCCCAAAAGTGATTTAAACCTCAAATTAAGGTGATTCTGTCATCTGGGTGGCAAAGATTATGATCTATGGCATCTTATCTTGCACACGTGTGTTCAATTATTCGTTTTTTTTGTGTGACTTCTTTTTTTTTTTTTTTTGAGACAGAGTCTCACTGTGTCTCCCAGGCTGGAGTGCAGTGGCATGATCTCGGCTCACTGCAACCTCTGCCTCCCGGGGTCGAGCGATTCTCCTACCTCAACCTCCTGAGTAGCTGGGATTACCGGCATGCACCACCACGCCCAGCTGATTTTTGTATTTTTGGTAGAGACGGGGTTTCACCATGTGGGCCAGGCTGTTCTTGAACTCCTGGCCTCAACTGATCCACCCGCCTTGGCCTCCCAAAGTGCTGGGATTACAGGCGTGAGCCACCATGGCCAGCCTTTTTTTTGACTTCTGCGTGAAAGTAACTCTTCTAAGCATTTGGCAGCCAAAATAGAGAGGTATTGTACAGCCCTTTGAATAAGCCCTCTTTAATTTGTTGTAATGGGTAAATTTATAGGATCATGGCCACCCAGCTTCACTTCTAATCACCAACCCCCTACCTTGCCTGTTCTCTTTCACAAACCAATACACTGTGGTGCTGGCTGAAAACATTTCTAATCATAGACTTATCTGCAGCTGGTGACTATTTGTGGTCTGACAGGAGATTGACCACATCCTGTGGTTAAATGTTATTATTTTTTCTGAAGACTCTTTGAACTGACTTAACTGCTTTCATTTGATGTTTCAACTGACTTATCTGTAGTAATAGCCAAGCATGTATGCTTTGAAAATTTGAATTGATATCCTTTATGTATCACATGGATATCTGTTATATCCGTTGATGTCCTATTACATTTTGTATTTTCTGAGTATTTTTTAAAATTTAGGGGCCATCATATTCCTCATCTAATATAGGCTCTAATACATGGACACTTGGTATATACTTGTTAAAAGAATAAATATGCAAATGACTAGAAGAATAGGAGTTTTAAATCCTCCTTTTAAAGGAAAATGTTAATAATAAAAAATACCCGTAGTTCCACTTCCCTTTTTTAACTGATTTCATATTGCATCTTCCCTTTCGCATACTGTTCAATTCAATTAATGTTGATTGAGCTGCTAATATGTCTCAGGCAATGTGTTAGGCTCATGTTAGGTTCAAGGGATACCAAAAATAAGTAAGACATGGTCCTTGCCTTTCCTTATCTTGAGGTTTAGTAGGAGATATGGGTATATAAGCAGATGGTCTCGGTGTGAAATTTAAATCAAACAAGCACAGTATGCTGTGAAAGCACAGTGGGTGGATTTCAGAGAAGTATTTCTGGAGGAAACTTGGGCTCTTTCTTGAAGAATGTATAAGCTCATGGAAAATTAAATCAAGATTGCCTAGCTAGGCGTTACCAGCAAGGAATTACATTAAAAATGCTTGGTGAAATAGGCAACTAACCAAAGTTCAAGGTAATTGGTGTGGAATTAAAAAGGGAGAGAGCTCAGTAAGAGTGTGCCACGTTATGGAGGTCCATGCATGTCATGGTAAAGGCCTGAAACTATGTACTCTAGGCCAATCAGTGTTAGCTTTCCAAGGAGGAGGTCACTGATACCTTGAAACTGAGCTTTAAGTATGCGTATGCAAATGAACCTAGTAAAATTGCTTCAGTATAAAAACTCTTAATATAGGGAACATTTTATAAATGGAAAAGTAGACATTTAATAGTCACAAATGAGAGTTTAAAAGAAACTAGTTATCTCCATCAAGAGTCTCTATTTCATAGATTCTCTAAGGATTTTTTAAATTCTAGGTTAGCTTCCTTCAACACTATCAGTCTGTAATATTTTTCACTAAGTTCCCTCTTCCCCTTTTCTGAAGCTTCCTACCATTAAAATTTGCTTAAGTGAAACATAAATCTCGACATGAAGTATATTTGGGTGGGATAGGATACTGTGCCGAAGTTGTTTATTTGTACTGTTCTTAACACAATAGTTGAGTACAGATACACTCCAGACTTGAATAATGTGGCTAAATAGATAGTCTCCAGGTGATCAACTAAAAATAATTGTATTCTGTCATCACTTCTCCCATTGATCCCAAGAAGTGCCTCCAAGAAAATTACCTTTCCTTCTCCAGTATTAGAAATCTGTGGGATAGCACCATCCACCAAACTACCCATTGAACCACTATCTTAGAGTTGGAAACACTGAAACATCCTCATTTCCTTCTTAGGGTCCAGCAAAATGGTTCAGTACCTTGGCAACACGCCCTTCCCTATAGAACCAGAGGGAGGGAGTGGGGAAAGAAAATATAGGAAGAACCAAAAGTGAGGATTCTATGAGAGACAAAGTGAAAGAAAGCTCTCAATGAAAGAAAACCCACACATTAAATGGCTTTCAGTACCCAGATCTAGAGTGCCTGGTTTGCATTGTAGTAACTTAACATTTGTCAGTAATGATGCCTACAAATACTGTGTTTATTATGTGTGTAAGAATGCATTTTATTTTGTTTTTTTGTTTTTTTGAGATGGAGTTTTGCTTTTGTCATTCAGGCTGGAGTGCAATGGCGTGATCTCGGCTCACTGCAACCTCCACCTACCAGGTTCAAGCAATTGTCCTGCCTCAGCCTCCTGAGCAGCTGAGATTACAGGCACCCACCACCAGGCCCAGCTAACTTTTGTATTTTTAGTAGAGACAGGGTTTCACCATGTTGGCTAGCCTGGCCTCGAACTCCTGAGTGTATCTACCTGCCTTGGCCTCCCAAAAGAGCTGGGATTACAGGTGTGAGCCACTGTGCCCGGCCAGAATGCATTTTATTTTTAAGTCCACAGCTAAAGATTATCTTGTTGTATTGTTGAATAGTGACAAAGCTACTACTAAGTGTGAATAAAGAGTTTGTAATTTTGCAGGCATTCATTAAATTAAATAAAGCCATATATGCCTATAAACCTAATAATCTTCTTTAAAAAACAATTTATTGAACCAAACTATTAAACCAAGTTTCAGTAAATTAGTTGCCTAACACTTGCACATAAAAAGCAACAAATGTTTTTTGATTCAATGAACAATTGATTATTAAAATCAAGCACATTTGTCTTACTGAACTGTTAGAATTATTAAAAATGGAAGCAATGTAAGGCTGTATAGATCTTTGTAGGCTGCAGTTAAGTATAAATCTGTTGCTCCTTCTTTCGTATGTTAGCCTGAAAAAGAAAAAAGCATGCACTTAGAAATCACATGGGGAAATTTTATAATTTAGATGATTTGACAGATGATAAGCTGTCTCAAATCCCTTTAAGAAGATAGTGTAGTATAAGTAACACACAAATACATGAATAAGTGAATAATTTTTAAATTGACAATAATTTGAATGATCTAGACTTACCTCAATCTCTGTATTCTAAATAGGCATTGTGCTTAGAAAATGAGTATAAATAAGATTTTAGATAATTACTTAACACAGTAATTTGCATGTGGCATGCCTCTGCTTGGCTGTTTCTTAATGGAGCTCTGGCAGAATTTATAATTTGTAAAGGAGTCAAATAAGACTTTATCACCTTTTACTTAAAAGAAATGTGTTTTCATTTCCTTAGAAAAATATTCCATAATTTAGAAATATGGCTATTCAGACTAGACTCTTTTCAGATTAAATTGAATTATGCAGCTTTACAGTGATGCTTTTTCTTTTAATTCATTGAACATTTTATATCCAGTAAAAAGTCAGCTAAAATTACTAGAGCAAATCAGGCTTTTCTTTAATGCTTACTAAGTGGGCGTGTATGCTTGTGTTTACACGTGTATGCAGGCACACATACAATAAACCATTTGGTAATATTCCAGAGACCCAACTATATTGCCAGTAAAAAATAAGAAATCTGTTGTCTGATGATATGTGTAGTACATGGCAACAGAACACTTAAGCTGAAGCATGAAGAACTTGTGAGCATGAATGTTAAACCTAGAAACAATTACTAAGTCACTTCTTAGCTACTGACAAAATCAAAAGGTTGGGAATAAAACCGGCAATAACTCTTGATCTTTTTTTAAAAAATGGTATTACTATCTCAGACATCCCTTCAGAAAGCATCGTTTCTGTTAAGCCTGTGTAGAGATTAATCTGGCATTATCTTTTTAAAAATGTCTAGATTGACTTAAGCCTTTATTCAGATAAATGGGAAAATTTTATGTAACTAGAAATGAGCTACTAGTTTTCATTGTAAAACACAGTCACTAGAGTATACCAAAAAGAATGTTGAGCACATTTGGGAAAAGGTAGCTTTTGTAAGCCTTTTTATTTGTTTTTAAGAGACAGGGTCTAGCCCTGTCTCCCAGGCTGAAGTGCAGTGGTGTGATCGTAGCTCACTACAACCTCTACCCTCTGGGCTCTAGCAATCCTTCTCCCTAAGCCTCTTGAGTAGCTGAGATTACAGGCATGCCCAGGCATGTCCAGCTAATTTTTAAATTTTTTATAGATACGGGGTCTCACTATGTTGCCCAGACTGAATTCCTGGGCTCAAGTGATCCTCCTGCCTTGGCCTCCCAAAATGCTGAGGTTACAAGCCTGAGCCACCACACCTATCTTGTAAGTCCCTGTAGTAATAAAATATATCCTGAATATTGTGAGGAATGAGAGGAAAGTTAGAGATCAAATAAGGGGAAATTGAGATTCCTGTTTCCAACTCTTTTGTTCCTTTTTTCTCTCCTCTTTGCAGTTGAACTCCTGTTTCTTCCTAGGTGTTCATGTCTCACATTTCTTCCTGGCCAACTCTTCCTCATTTATGTAGGGTCCTCCTTGGATAGCACCTCCTCTATGAAAGTTTCTCTGACCCACAGAAGGAATTCATTATTCTCTCCTCTCTTTTCCCTTAGCCTTTATGAGACTATTTTTTCCTCTTCATTTTTTGCTTATCCTTTGTATGGAGTAACTTCCTGAATCTATATAGCAGTGGTGTGGAGCCCTCTAGGAAGCATAGGAAATAGGGGAAATAGCAAGAATTCTTCATAAACTGCAATAAGTGACAAGATGCAGCAAGACTCCCAGCCTTCCTGGCTGGCATGGGGCACTGATTGGTGTAATGTTCCAGTGTGGATGTTACTGTGTATTCATCAGTGAGTCTACACAGATAGAGTCCACATGTGTCCCAGTTGTGCTAATTCTTCTTCCTTTCATCATGCTAAAAAGGTAAGTATTGGGTGAAACTTTTTTACTTACAAGTATACATATTTCCTCTGTAAATGGGACAATTCCTGAGTCTAGGATTTGCTAGGTCTTAAGGATTATGGCTTTAAAAATAGACCTATGCTTTAAAGCATGTTCCACAGGAACATAATTTTTTATTTATGTTTCTATTTTCTCCACGAGACTAGATGCTTGATAGAGCTTACAACTTGATTCTTTATATTCTTGTCCATTAGCATGGGCAAAGCTCACACATATTATGAATAAAGTTGAGTAATATTTGTAGAATTAGTAGATAAACGACACTGCTTAATGACAAAGTTTAACTCTCCATGAAGCTATTTGTATTTTCAGGAAAAAAAAAAAAATGCTGTGAGAACAAATGAGTCGCTCACTGGAGAACTTGGTAGGGGATGTCCTGGTATCCGCAAAACAAGAAGGACCATTTAAATAGCTTTCAGCCGACTGTAGCCTGAGCCCTTCCTTTGTAAGCATCTACACACTCACAGGGATCAACAGTAACAGTATCTCCTCTCCAGCAGAGGATCTGTTGGTCTTCTGAGTATTGAAGACTGATAAATGATAGAATCTCTTCTTGTCTGACATCTTTGAAACCCCCAATGTTCCAGAACCTGGAAAACCTGTTGTCGTATAGGGGCGTATCAACAAATCAGTGGCTTCACTCATCTGTCACCTCTATTTCAGGATTATTTCTGAAGTATTGATGATTAGAAATATGTTAGAATCTGAACTTTGGGGTATAAATTCACCCATTATCTACAGTAGCTTTCCTGCTTTCATAACATGATCTACACATTTTGTGGCTAAATAAATGCTCATTTTTCTGATGACCAAAGCTAACTTTTAGATGAATTACTGATACACAGAAACGATTTCATCCCAATTAACGTGTGAAACACAATTTAACTGTGATGATGTTTTCAGTCAAAGGCAGTTGCCTTGGCATTAACAGTGAAATCTTACATGCACAGGAAGGTTCAGCCTAACCCTGGTAGGATTCCTAGGCTGTTTCAGTACATGTGACGTTAATAATATGTAGCTTATCAGGTAATGATGCTCAGTTAGTAACATTCTTCAGTGAGCCAATGGCAGATATTTTTAAAAGTGATTATAATTTTTCTCTAAGGATTACCCAAGCATAATAAATAACAAAATATGAGCAAAAAATGTGATAATACAAGGGATTTTTAAATGGCAATGATTTTAACATATAGATAAATAAAAATAATCATGTCCATATTATAGTGTTTGAAACTTAGTCTAGTGAATGACAAGAGATAGCATAGGTATTGAGATTTTAATTTATCTGATAGGCTTACCGAATTCCAATAGTTAATACATAATTCCTCTGTGTATTCAAATTGTTTCTAATTAGATGGACTTCTCTATTCTTTTAAAATATATTTTGTAAATATTCTTGTTATCTTTAGAATGTCTGTGGTGCTTGCAAAACCATATACAGCGATTTCTTTCATTTGTTTTTTTTTAATGCACAGTAGAGTATATAGGTCAGATAACGTTTGAAATGCATGACATGTTAGTAATCTTCCATTTACCTCTTTAAATTAATATTCGATTTTAGTATTTATTTATTTTTGAGACAGGGTCTCGCTCTGTCATCTAGGCTGGAGTGCAGTGGTACGATCATGGCTCTCTGCAGCCTCAGCCTCGCAGGCTCAAGCGATCCTCCCACTTCAGCTTCCTGGGTAGCTGGGACTACAGGTTCATACCACCCCACCTGGCAGGCTCTCACTATGTTACCTAGGCTGTTTTTGAACTCCTAGGCTCAAGCAGTCCTCCCATCTCAGCCTCCCAAAGTGCAGGGAGTATAGGCGTGAGCCACCACACCCGGCAAAATCAGTATTTTATAAGTGAAATTACATATATATATACACACATGACATAGTAGTGTATGTGTGTGTATATGTATGTATTACAGTTGTTCCTCACTATCCACAGAAGATTGAATCGAGGACCCTCTCAGATAACAAAATCTGCAGATACTGAAGTCCCTGATATAAAATGGCATAATACTGTATTTGCCTATAACCTATGCACATCCTCCTGTATACTTATTTATTTTTGAATACTATATTTTTGATCCTCAGTTGGTTGAATCTGCCATTGTCAAATCCTCATATACAGAGGGCCAACTGCATATATAATTTAATGATAGCAAATTACTAAAAATATCGAGGCCATAATAAAAATTATTGATAGCAAATTACTAAAAATATTGGGGCCAATAAAAATTAATGACTTCAAGAATTAAAAACAGTTACTATACATATATGAAAATTAACTCTTAAAAATGTGACTTGGTTATTCAGTTAGCTTGGATAGATGAAGCAGAAAGTTAAATGGTGATTATGAAAACTGAACTTTTGTATATGTGGTTTAACTACATTGTGAGTTACGTGAGTGTGTTATTTCTCCTTTTGTCTCACTACTTTAATGGGAGATTATTGTTGCCCAACTCTGGGTCTAGTATGTAACCAACTCTTTTCAGCCAGATTCCTCACCTCCAAAAGAGTGTCTTGCATCTTTGGGTCTGGGCCCAGGTTCAACTCCAAGAACTGTACATCTCAGGGACCAAAGGTTATGCTTGGCAGGGAAGCCTAATGCCCCATCAGGGCACTCACTAATCTATCTGAGTAGACTATTAGTGTTTTTCTATTTTTAAAATGTGTTTTATATATGCACAGGTACTCTGGTATCAGCTGTTGTGTTTTCCAAAGAGTTGAGTGCATTATTATATCAACTCATCCATGCTCATAATATACGTATATGTGCCCAGGGGAATTTTGGGGAGCTAAGGGTAGGACTGGTGCAAAACTATGCAGTTACAAATTATAGGCTTCTGAAGAGGTAATCTGACTCAGTAAACCAGCCTCAAATCAAAAAAGATAAGTACTATGGTAAGACATAAGAGCTAATCTGCAAAACACAGCTTGCACAGCCCTGAATTCATTATTAAGATTTCCATAAAGACATAGAAAGGATGCTATAAATGACTGTCACCTCACAGACACTGCAGAAAGACCACTTACTTTCAAATTTGACATTCTCCTTCTCCATGAGTGTTCTTGGGAATTCCCGGAAGAGAGACAAGCATGTGAAAAGGCCCTAGGGCAGGAAGGAGCTTACTATGCTTGAGGAACTGGAGGAAGGCCATCACAACTAGAGCAAGAAAGAGAGGGCCTCAATTGGAAGATAGGTGGGATACAAATTAAGCGGAGACATGAAGGTCATATCAGGAGTTGGCCTGAAAAATCAGTGTACAGCCATTGAAGAGCTTCATGCAGACATGTGACAAAATTGGATGTACATTTAAAGCTATTGTGTGGAGAGTTGATATGGGGGCTGGGGGGCAAGATAGGAAATGGGGCCCATTAGGAGTTATTGCAGTGGTACATGTGAGAGATAGCAGAGACTTAGGCTGGTGACATTGTAGTGGAGATAGAAGTCTTGATTCAAGTCCTGTTTTGGAGATATAATCAGCAAGATTTAGTTAGAGATCTGTACCTACATAATAGAAAAAGTGGTTGGGCCTCTTCACCCTGAGGTACTAGCTCAAATAACAGGTCAAACCAGAAAATCATGAAGTGGTGCTTATAGTTTCATTCCCCCATTTAATTATTTAATCACTTATTCACTCAGAAAACATTTATTAAGCTCTTCCTGTGAGCCAGGCATTGTGTAAGGTGCTGAAGAGACAATGTCCCATTATCGGTCATGTGCTCTGCCTGACAGACCCTTACACCAGTGGTTGGCTTGATTTACTTTATATCTTAGAACATGGTGCTAAGGAGACCCACATTTTTCATTGTATCCCCATAGACTTTGTTCATTTAGACACATGGTTCCCTTCAGGGGTCTTTGGGGAGCCCCTGGGGTAACTAGAAATGGATGGACTTGGCACACTGGTTGGCACGCTGACAAGGTAGTTCTGCCGCACCTAGAACAGGGCCTGGTGCTGACAGTCTTGCCTTATACAGGACATCTGCACACTCGTAATATAGAATCATCCAGCCAAGACACCCAGTAACACTCCTACTAATGAGCCCTGATCAGCTTCACACTGACCAGTGACTACTCTCCTGCCCTCACCAGTACTCAAACTGTCTGACTTTAATCAATGATTAAAGGGCACATAAGTGGGAATTCTTTATGTCTGTATTCTTCCCAGTCTTTCTGCATGATCCTTTGGGGTATTCCGAGCCCCTTGTCTTACCCTTCTCTGCTCCCCAAATTGTGTCCAAGGGGCAAGCTAGTAGGGCAGCACAGACAAGAAAAAGCTAGTCCTTTTCCTTTCTTTTGTGTGTGTTCTTGGGAAATGACCTTAATCTCCATTACTTTCATTTCCTTGTCTATAAAACAGAAATAGCACTAGTATCTACTTCATAGGGTTGCTGTGTTGCAATCTCTAGAGCACTTAGAACAGCACTTAGTCTTGGCACATTTTCTTAGTCTTTTGGGCTGCTTAACAGAATACCATAGCTTGGGTGGCTTGAACAACAGACATTTCTCACAGTCCTGAAGGCTGGAAGTCTGATATCAGCGTATCAGCGTGCCAGCGTGGTCTGGTTCTGGCAAGGGCTCTTTCCTGGATTGCAGGCTACTGACTTTTTCTTATATCTCTACACGGAGAAAAGAGAGGAGAGAGCTCTCTGGAGTCCCTTTGGTAACGACCCCAAATGAGGGCTCCACCCTCATGACCTCATTACCTCCCACAGGCCCCACCTCCTAATATCAGCACTTTGGGAGTTAGGATTTTAACCTATTAATTGGGGAGGGGGCACAGATATCCAGGTAGTTGCACACACAATAAGCACCCAATGAATATTTATTGTTATTGTTATTGTTCAACAAGTGGAAGACAGTGTGTTGGATGACCATGCAGGTGACGCGGATGAATCTGTCACCATTACAACTTCTGCCTTCATCACTAAATGAAGAGATACCAATTGCTTAAATGCAAGGCAGCAGGAGATATGTTTTTTTACAAATAAAAATCTGATTGTGGTGATTCTTCGCTTAACTGCTTAATGAACCTCTGTTACCACTGCTCAAACGCTTGGATTTCAGGTCTGGCAATCTCATCTCACTAGGTTTGTTCTTCAGCTTTAAGTTAATTTCCCAGGGGAAATTACTCCTTTTTCCAGAGTTAGTCCCAGTCCTACCTTAGCAAGATTGCCTCCTACTTGTGCATTAACTGGGTGCCGCTCTTGGTTCCTGTTTCCCATCAGCTCCAACCTGAAGTTCCTGGCTTTCCCCCACCACCTCGAGCACTGCTTTTAATCTCCAAGTCAGTGCTATTCCTTGGGTTAATGTGGCACCATTTTATTTTTTAAATCCCAGTCTTTGACTCTACTTGCTGCTCAGCCTCATGGTCAAAGATCTATTACTGATGAAATTTTACAAATGTTGTATTCTGGATGAAATTAATTTTGACCATTTCTGATGGGAATTGCAAATTGTACACTAGAAACAGAAGAACAATTTATTATACAGGGTAATAATACAGTGTGAATCAACATCACTATAAATAACAACAGTAACAAATATTTATCTTTCTGATACATATCTCATTTTTTCATGTTCTAGAGTTATCTTTTTTTTTCCTTGTGAGCCCTAATGTTCTGGAGATTTCATAAATGGTAATTAATGCTTCAAATTTATAATTGATATCCTTCATATCATAGTAGAACTCTGACATCAATTTATTCACAAAATCTCTAATTAGTTAATTAACAATTTATTCATGAGACTGATTTAATTTGGGCATTATATGAAATTTCACAAAGCACAGTAAAAATTTTCAAAAATATCTAATAACTATGGCTTAATTTTGTGTTCTATTAAAAAATAATGTGAGTATAAAAATATGTTAAAGTTAGAAAATTCAGTAGCTTCTCTTCAAGACATTGAATTCTATTATAACTGATATTTTTTCCTTTTCAGACATTTATCATACATATAGAAGAAATGATAAAATGGTTTCATTTGTGTAAAGATATTTTTAAATAATGGGACGAATGAATACTAGGAGAGAGAATGTTGTCAGACACAGTTAACTACATAATCTAAAACTCAACATGAAACTCTACACCCCTCAAATTTGTCTAAAGCTATTATGATTTATTGAAAACTACCAGAATGCTAGTCCCCCTGACTTTTTAAATATTCTCCTTTAAATACGAACCCCTTAGGAAATAAAATCTATTGCCATGTATAGCTAAACTTTGGTATTTGTATGATTTTTTTTAAGCTCATGTAAAGTTCAGATTTACAGTAAATGAAATGGATAGCATGATTCTCTAACTGGGTTAATTCATTTAATCATTACTTCAAGAGTCATTAATTAAGCAAATATGTATTAATGCTAGGTTAGATGCTAACATAACAAAGATCAGTAAGTTGAGAGCCCAGTGATCCAGGATCTGGTATTTTTCATAGGCCAAATAACATGTTTAAGGAGCCTATAAATAGCAGCAATTTTATTAATGTCAGTAGACTTTAATCAATGTTTATTAAACATTTTAACAATCCAAAATTGTCTGTAATGTATGTAGGTTTTCTAGGTACTTATAGTCAAAAACAAGGATAACTACGAGTATATATTATATCTATAATACATCAGTCACATTCAAAGGAAGAAATCTCACAAAATTGTTATCGTCACTATACAGGCAACAGTAGACTTGTTGAAAGTGTTTTTTGTCTAACTATTTTGCATTGTAATTTATGTAAGGTACATTGTGTGATTGCCTTATTATAGATTCTAATCGGAATAAATAGCTATGCTATTAAATGGAATTACGTACATGTAACCATGGTTTTTAGAACATGCCTATATGAAGATTTATATGATAATCTTAGGTAAACATTTTATATGTGAAAATAATAGAATTGGAAATAATGACGGACGTTAAAGGACTTTGAGGTATCCAGAATGCAATTAAGAGAGGCAGAAGTTGCATAAATGTTCAGACATGTTTATAATTTTTAGCATCCCATCTTTTCCTTTTGGAAAGGAGAATAAGGGAGAGAATACTAACTGGTGATCTCTAAAACATGCTATCCTTTGATGATGTTTCAGAACTTAATAAAGCAAAAAAGCAAACAAGTGAACAAAAAGAAAAACTAATTTAGCATCCTTTTATCTCACTCTATAGTATTCATACATGAAGCTCTATACCTTTACTTGATGCTTTTCCAAATGACTCATGCCTTCTAAACTGGAAAGACTGGCAGTGTCATTATTGGAAAATCTGCACTGTGGAGTGGTTGAGGGCATGAGCTGTGGAGTGGATGGCCTGCCTGTGTCACTAAACGCTGTGTGATCTTGGGCAAGTTACTTAACTTCTCTGGGCCTCCATTTTCTCATCAATAAACTGGGAGGGGAATTGCTCGGCGGGCAATTGTGAGGATTTATAAGTTAATATAAAGCTTAGTACACTGTGTGGTTTATTGTAAGAACTCAGCAAATGTTAGCTCTTACAAGGTTAAACCCCAAAGATGAAATGTCCTTTTAAAATCAAGCCAGATCATAGCAGAGGAAGAAATGGTTGATAAATGAGAAAATGATCTACCTCGCTAATAACCAAGAAATTCATATTAACTTTTCCACAATTGAATAGGTGTTCTGTATTTATTAATAATAACTATTATTAGTAATGATTTGGGTCTGTGAGCACCTTCACAATTTTCAGGGTGCAACCATTTTGGAAGGTGATTTGCCCTGTCTGCTCTACAAAATTTTAAATGTGGGTACTCTTTCACCCAGTAATTTTACTTGTAAGAATTTCTCTTTCAGAGATACCCTCTAATATGCACATACACGTGTGTGCACGCATGTATGTACGCATATGCATATCTCTATTAATTGCTATGTTACGTTAAATTAGGGGAAAATGCTTCTGATATGACATGGTGCCCATAATTTCATGTAAAATGACAAATACAATTAACTTAATTATTTACATATAGCACGTGATCCCACTTTTGTGGGAAAAGCATCTATTTTTATGTGTGTGTTTTCAAGGGGAAAAATACATGTTTAAGGATGCACACATGCAAAAATAGCAAAAGGATACATGGAAACTCATACTCAATAGCTATGATGTGTATCATCTCCTTTTGTTCAGAAAGTGTTTCTAAACTGTGCCAAAATTTTGTCAGATATCATTAATATTTGAAAAATTGAAATGAAAACCATTTTCTGCGAAAGATATTGCCTACTATATTTATGGCATACAGAAAATTGTGACCTCATGTGTCTAATGATAGACAAATAAAAAAGATAAAAATGTTTAGTGTAGTATAGATTTGACTTACGAACACTGTCTCATGTTTTAAAAAGTTTTGATTTTTTTTAAATCATCTAAGAAAAACAGCTATATGAACACATTTGCAAATCTATTGATGCTTATTTTTTTTTGCTTCTTTTTAAAAGTGATTATGTTTTTTATCTTCCCAGAGTTACTGGAGGTGAACTGTTTGAAGACATAGTGGCAAGAGAATACTACAGTGAAGCTGATGCCAGGTAAGTGACTTGCCCTGGGCAAGATACAAGACTCAACATTCAAATAATACTTTTTCAGCATATTTCTTTACAAATGCATGTTTGTACAAACAAATGTTTTAAGGATCTCCGGGATGATTCTTAGAGAAAAAAAACTCCATGAATCTGGTCTATATTTTTATCTAGCATCTGTAGTTAGATTACATATTTTATCAAAAACAACAAGGAAAAACAAACCAAAACACCCCACCTAATTGGAATGACTTCTGCTAAAGCAATATATTTTTTAGTGAAAGTCAGAGATCAAAGATTGAAATCCTCTAATCCCTAGATAGATTCTAGGTTGCCCAGTGGTAGCCAGTAGTCACATGTGGCTATTGCAATTTCAATTAATTAAAATTAAATTAAATTAAAAATTTATTTCTCAGTTGGTCTAACCATGTAGTTGGTCTAGCCAACTGCCTAGTAGCCACAAGTGTCTAGTAGCTACCAATTGGCCAGACCAGATATAGAACATTTTCATCATCACAGAAAGTTCTACTGAACAATGAATATCTAATCAGAAAACAGAAACAGCCTGAAAAAAGTCTCAGTGGTCTCTTTAAGGAACTATTATTAGCTAATTAACTCTTTGGAAATTTCATTAAAACCCTTGAACCCCTGAGTTGAAATATATTTATTCAGGCATTTAAGAGAGTTCAAGAGTAATTTTTCAATCTTGTTAATTGGCAAAATCTTTACAAAAGTTTAAAAAAGGCTAAGTTTTTTGTCTAATTTGCAACTTCCTAGGCTATCCAAGGCAACACTTTTGGAGTGGAGTAACATTAACCACTTGCTTAGATGTTACTGGATTGCATGGTGTAAATTTTCCTGTGTACTTTTATATATTCTGTAGCTGTCATTTATTTTTAAAAATCTGATCAAGAGTGATTGGCTCATTATTAGCAATGTAAATGAGATGTTTGGGAGCAGAGATTGACTCTGCTCCCATTCTCCAATGCCATCAGAGCTTCCCAAGGCTTGCTAATCCCATTGTAGCCTGACCCTCAACAGATGTCCAGCTGATATTAAGGTTCCCAGCCCCTCCTTGCCCTCAGAGGCACACTTCTAAGTTTCTAATTTTTCTTCTTGGTTTAATGCACTGTTTATGGCACTTTGTGAATCTATCTGTACATGACTACGCTCTAATTTTTTAATGGAATTTTTATGGCCAAAGTCAAATAGAAAATTCTGTGTAATTTATACTATGATGAGTGAATCATCACTTGCTCAGTTTACCCCAAATCCCCACATTAGGGTCCTGAAAGGGGCCATGGGGAACCTCTGGAAGTAGCTATTTGGCCACTTGCCAAGAAACAGTAATACTTTTAATCAAGGTACTAAACTAGGGAATTTCATTAATGTTACCCTTCAAAGTTATGTTAAGCAGGCTGTTACTTGGTTTGAAAAATACTGGTTGAAATTAAAATAGAGACTATTTTTACTGCTAAAGAGCTCTAAGATATTTTTTATGAAAGCTCTCCGATAAAATCAAAGAGAAGGAACATTCCCTTCTAAATACATAAAGAGGCTATTTCTCAGTCAGATGTGGTGGCCCACTCCTATAATCCCAGAACTTTGGGAGGCCAAGGTGGGAGGATTGCTTGAGCCCAGGAGTTCGAGACCAGCCTGGGCAACATGGTGAAACCCTGTCTCTGCTGAAAATACAAAACTTAGCCAGGTGTGGCAGCATGCACCTGTAGTCCCAGATAATCAGGAGGCTGAGGCAGGAGAATCACTTGAACCTGGGAGGTGGAGGCTGCAGAGATCATGCCACTGCACTCCAGCCTGGGCGACAGAGTGAGACCCTGTCTCAAAAGAGGCTATTTGATTGTCAAAAAATTGTAAAAATTTTTTACTAGTTCTCAAAAATTTAAGAATTGAATCCATTCTCACTAGTAAAAAAAATGGTGAAGTCCATTTAGTATGTGTTATTGTTTACTTCTTTATCTTCTGTTATTCCCAAGATTCAATAATTTATGCTTGTTGTTTGAGAACAGGAAGAGAAATATTCTTAAAGAGTAGTGCAAAGTGAACATTATTGTAAAAGAAAAAAGATTCCTATGGTTTAAAAATAATGACCAATACTCAAATAAACAATGTAGTCAACAGCAATGAATGTGAGACGCTTTTAGTGGTATTGTTAATAAAAGAGCTAGAAAATCATAGTCATGATCAATTTTTAAAATATTTACATTGTAATAAATCAGATGGTGATTACTTTTTTAAATTCAAGATTTTTCTTTAGAATAATATTATTTTATACATTAAGTGGTTGAAAATGTCCTTATTAAAATGTTTGCTTCATCTTTCAATGAATAAATGTAGTTCAGGATGTACTTGCATTTGAATTGCACAGTGAACTTATACAAAATTCATCAGTGTGATGTGTTCTGCATTATTATATGTCAGATGACAGTTCACAGGACCTTATAGGTGCCAAACAAGGATTTCTCCTCTCTAATTAGCAGTCCCATTTGATATCAGTGAACCCTTAATAAGAATAGCATAAAATGTGCATTTTGATATAGTATGAAGCAAAAGTTTTTCTTCACTGAAGTGTATGGAAGTGGGTTTAATAATTACCAATGCTCCAGGGGATTGTAAATTTGTATTTATTTATTCTTTGAAAGCTCCCTAGCTCTTCCCCAAAGTATTCTTACACTAAAGAGGGGTTTATTTTATTCATGAGTTTACTTTAAATTCTCCCTTTATTGTTGGAGACTTGCATTTGTTTTCCTGTTATATACTTTACAAAAAGCAACGCTTCTAAGGCGAAATGGTAAATGTGTCCCTCCATTTTTTTTGACCCTTGTTTCACCTGCCACTTCATCTGTGTTTACCCTCTTGTTTCAACACCTGTTTAATTGTGACCTCAGATTTTAAACAGTTTAGATGTGTATAAGAAATACCTGGAAATTTTATATCTCTGAAGAATTTTCCCAGAACATTATGGGAATTCTTTATAAATTTTTCTTTCTAAATATGGAGATTTTACCTTCTTATACATATTATTTAATTTGTACACTTACAATGAAAACAACACAACTCAAATTGTTTTGTCTGAACATGTCACAAAGTCTATGTTGGATGTCATTTTTGTTAGAACCAAAATTAGCTTTATTCAGCTTTATTTGATTCCAACGTAAAGCTAAAAAAAGTGAAGAAATATAATTTTTGTTTGTTTGTTTGTTTCATTGGGACTTTCATTTTATTTCATATTCAATGTGATTATGTGCCTTTAAAATGTTCTCCCTTCCATTCTGCCCTTGTATCTTTGCAGTCATTGTATACAGCAGATTCTAGAAAGTGTTAATCATTGTCACCTAAATGGCATAGTTCACAGGGACCTGAAGGTCAGTATATGGAGTCCATAAATCTGAATCAAAGCAGTTTTATTTTTTTTTCTGGGGAAAGGGCAGAGGGTGGGTATTTAAAATGGTTCCCTTGCCTTTCCCAACTTGTTTCTAAAATGAGTAAATGATGAAATGATAATGCATGATGCCTCTTCCAGTTTGCTCATCTACAGGCTAAATATACATCATAGCAAAAAGGGAAGAATACTAAAGAATACAACCTGCTAAGTTTCCAAGCAGTAAACTACCTACCAAAAGGGATTGAGGAGCAGGCTTTCTTGAATTGCCCAGCATTTGCCTGGAGATAAACTTGGCCTGTGATGTATGTCCGCCTGTAGATTTTAAACACCACTTCTGTTCTGAGACCATGGGTTGCTGTAGCAGAACAACTGGTTACGCATTGCTCCATTTGAGTCTGATGAACCCTTAGGCAAGAGATATTAATTGCCAGCTAAATTAAAGCACAAGAAGTTAATGATTTATCAAAAATTCATTAGGTATCTTAATTTAACCTTAGTGGTGCCCTGACTGTTAATGTGACAGCTTTTAGAACAATACTGGAAAAATGGGAGAGAAAAGGGAAACAATTTATGTGACGGGGTGGAGGCGGAACACCACAGCTATAAAGATTATATTTGTGTTCCACTTTATTTCCTGGAAGAATTTATAACCAGGAAATGATCTCTTGAATGACATAAAGTGTTTTCAAAATGGATTTTTCTAGAACAAATGGACCCACATTCTGGCTCACATCTGGTAAGATCTGATTGTTCTGAGGTAGTAGTCACTCTACTTGAGCAATATGTTTACATGACTGAAGGTGGTACAATACAACCCCAGTTGTCTGCTAGCTCTGCACTTTAACCCAGTCTCTCTGAGGGTATACAGACAGTGAGTGTAAGCTTGGAACTAACACACGCCCCCTGGTGTTTGCATGCAGTCATTGCATTCAGCAGATCCTGGAGGCTGTGCTACACTGCCATCAGATGGGCGTGGTCCATCGGGACCTGAAGGTGAGTAATGCGGTTGAAGAAGATAAACCACCACACAGTTCCTAATGACTGTTCAGCTGCAATTATGCCTGTAAAGGCAAAAATATGAGCAATAAAGTTGTGTGGACTTATTCCAGCACGTTACTCAGGAACTTTCCCTCACCACAGTCTCTCTTATTTCATCTCTAACACACACTTGAGACATATAAATCTTGATTTATCCAGATAGAAATAACTTCCCAACATTAACAATAAATAGGATGCTATATTTCTTTCCTTGTAAGGATGGATATAGCATTAATGTGACTTTCAGTAGGGTTTGATGATCTTCACTCTAAATTTGTTCTGTGTACATTGATCAAACATTTTATATTCATGTGATATATACCCAATATTATGTAAATACTTAGTAAAATTATAAAGTGTGTAGAGATAAAGTTATTAGGTGAAGTTTTAGCCTAAACGATTATGTGCTAAAGAACCTCATTTTGAATTCTGACATTCTCTTTCCCTTAACATTAGTCCTAGGAATTCTGAGGACACTGAGGCCTCTTAGTTTTTTATTTATTTATATTCCTAAAGACCAAGATAATAGTGTCTTCTAAAACTACAGATGTAAAGAAAGCAAAACAAATTTAATCATCAAATAATATTTATGTAGCAAATATATATGGATATCCCTATATACATATTCTCATTTGAATGCCTACTGATACCCTTAAGACTTCACTCAGCTTCTGATACCCTTGAGGACAGAGAATTTTTAGATCATTTAGAAATGAAATAGCTCACAAGGGGAGTACTTTTTCATTAATTTTCCGTCTCCATTTCCCAGCACTCTAGTTTTACCTGTGGAATTTCAGAAAAATAGTGAAGCCTAGAAATCGAAAAGAAAAACTACTGGATGAGTAAAATAGTAAATGTGAGCACTGTATATAGTTTTGATTCTTTCAAACTCAGCATTTTCTAGGCATTAGGACAAAGGTGACAAAGGATAATTTAGAATGTCTAAAACTATGTGTGTTTAGTGAGAGGACCTAGACTTATTTCTCACGTGCAGACTTTTCTGGTTATAAAAAAAATTATAAATCCATATTTCCAGTCACTTAATGTTCTAGAAGACTATATCTCTAAACCAATTACATGAAGATGTGATTTATAAGCAAAACATTGCCTTAGTTTTCTGCAATCTTTTGATTTCATTTAATTCTGAGAGTTTTAAATATCAAAAGCAAAGGTATGGTTAAGGGCATTTTCTTCTGAAGAGCCAAGATCGGACTGTATATCTGCTAACACTTACCAAATGTACCCATTAGTATAAAGCAAAAGCAGTGTGTTTCTTTGAAAATTCATGTATTTTACAGTCACCTCAAAAATTCTTTACTGGCCATTTACAGACAGAGCCCCTTTTGTTACCTCTCAGAACCCACAGCACTACTTTCCTTTTAAGTGAACATATATGAACATGCACATCATTTGTGCAATTTTTTTTCAGACACTTCTATAAATTTATTATTTGAAACATTTTACTCCATGTTATATAACCATAAGTGGACTTTAAAAGCCAAGTATTAAAAAATGTGAATCCTCTTCCATAACTTTAAAGATATTTTTTGTGGAATCGTAATACAGGACTTCTCTAAACATCTGGAATCAGGTGAGCACTTCAAAGACTGGAACTTTAATAGGACATGGGCTGTGAAGAAAAATATATTCTCTGACGTATGAGCTAACGTCACTAATTAAAAACTTAAGCAGATGATTTTTAGGGAGGCTTACTAGCAAAAGAAATAACTTGCTGCATTCCCCACCAGATTTCTTTAAGGCAGGGAAAGTACTTTTGCTCTCCATTCTTATTCTGATTCTGGGAAAGGACAGAAATGAGCTTTTGAGAGAGCTTGTTATAATTTTTTTAGTTGTTGTCTTAGTTTGTGTCAAATTGCTGACTTGGATGGATTTCAGTTGAGTCTGGTTCTCAGTGCTTGCTTCAGTAGGCCATTTCATAAACACACTGAGAGAGTTCAAAACACGTGCATTAGAGGCAGTTGATGAACCTCTTGAACGTGCCAAATCCCTGCCTTTGTTTTGTGCCTTTTATACCCATGATGTATACTCTGATAAATATATTGCTTGTGATAGCATGTTTACCAATATAGTAAAGTTAAAAAGATCAAGTGCTGAAATTTTTTATTACCAGGCCTTAAACAAAAACTTGCCTTTACTATTCCTATGCTATTTATTTTTGTGTCCATATACTAATTAATATGTTAATTGATGTGCGATAGAAATGTTTGATGCACATAGTTTAATTTGTCCACATCAGTGAGAAAAAGAAACACAGGAAATGTCATGTTTATCATGATCAACAGCACCTATAAGGATATAAGTGCTGTACAATTTGTATATAAGCCCTCTGGAACCATAGCTGTTTAACGTAATGCGATACTCCACAGTACCTAACGTAGGGGCTTATACCTGGCCAATACCTGCAGCATATTCCTTCAATTTAGAAATGAATGAAGGTCAACCAAAAGTACATCTATAATATAAAAGGCAGCATTCAGTAAAATAGCTTATTAAGTGTTCATTAATATTTGAATAACATAAAGAAGATAAGTATATCTTCAGAATAAAGATCACTATTTAGTTGAATAACTGCTGCTCACTGGGGCTCATTAGACAGTGGGAAATTATGAGGACCTATAATCAAGACTGAGGTACAACAGGCAATTTCAGGATGTCCCTGAAACAAGCAATAGGAGAAGAGTCAGGGTGGTGGGATATCAGCATCAAGAAGGTACATCCATCGGCACCAGGCAGAACCTAGTGGATACATGGACCACAGCCTTTTGTCTGAGGTGTGTCCAGTGGCAGGCCAATTAATGTAGATCTAGATAATATTAGGAGGATCTAGTGGTGGTGATAAACAGTACAGTACAGTTCAGGGATAGGACTGCAGTCTTTGGGAGCGTTTGGATCAAGTCAGGGTCTTAATAAGCAAAATGGTAAAAGATGCCATTTATCAAGCAGTTACCATGTACCCTGTGCTGTCTTATCATACAAATCTTCAGAACAACTTTATGAGGAAGGTGCTCTGATCATCCTCATAGTATGTAAACGAAAATTTAGCAACCACAAATGAAAGAACTTAAGATCACTCAACTAGTAAAATATGATTGGTGCCTAAGAAATTTGATTCCAAGTCTGCATGCTTAATAACTACTACTTCTCAATTTAGTTGGTTGGATGAATTAAAAGCCTGTAAAGAGACCAAAGAATGAGTCAAAACGATAGGAAAATAATTTTGCTAGCAACATCCACAATAATTTGTGGAAATGGTTCTAAGTTTAGTGAATCAAAAGGTTAAAATAGTCCTGCCTATGGGTCTTCCAGAGATAAACAAAATCTGTGTCATTGGGAATAAAGAAAATAAGATATAATGTAGAGTAGGGGGCAGTACAATCTGGTAGTAGACAGGTGTATGAAGTAAAACTTTTTCATTTAGAAAATCAGTAAGGTAGCATTGACCACAGCCTTTGGAAAACGAGACAAAGAAGAATAAAATGCATTTGCCACATTTAATTAGTAATTGCCACATGAAGACAATTAGTATTGGGTGCTTAAGGCGGGTGGATCATGAGGTCAGGAGATCGAGACCATCCCGGCTAACATGGTGAAACCCCGTCACTACTAAAAATACAAAAAATTAGCGGGGCGTGGTGGCGGGCGCCTATAGTCCCAGCTACTCGGGAGGCTGAGGCAGGAGAATGGCATGAACCCAGGAGGCGGAGCTTGCAGTGAGCAGAGATCGCCCCACTGCATTCCAGCCTGGGCAACAGAGCGAGACTCTGTCTCAAAAATAAATAAATAAATAAATAAATAAATAAATAAATAAACTTGATAGATAGATAGATTCTTTATGAAGAGCTGAGTGCTGTAACTCAGTGTTGGATATTTGTGAATTGGTGGTTTAAAGTTCAAATACAAAAAGAGAAGAATGAATATTCATCAAACATTCCTTCAGGAACCACGAAGGCATCATTTTAAATGTGAGCATACATTACTGAGCAAAACAAGAACAGACCTTGTGTGCATGAAACCCTGCTGGCCATTGAATTAAGGATCATGTAAAAATATGTATGTAGGCCCGGTGCAGTGGCTTATGCCTGTAATCCAATCACTTTGGGAGACTGAGGCAAGAGGATTGCTTGAGGCCAGGAGTTCAATACCAGCCTGCGCAACATAGCAAGACCCCCCATCCCTACAAAAAAAAAAAAAAAATCAATATATATACATATGTGAAAAGCATATTGATGATGTTCTTCCCAGAAAGGAGGAAGTACCTCAGACAAGTACTGCATTCAGAAAAATATTAGGTCAAAGTGAGGTTGCAGTAACAAATGACAATTTTTAATGTCACAAGAAATAAAGGAATGTCAGATCAGATATATTTTCTCATTTAAGAACCTGGAGAATACAATTTCTATGACTTAGTTGACAGAATAAGTAAAGGAGATAGTTATAAAGCTATGCTTTTTCAAATAACTGTGTTTGAAACAAGGTAGTAAGATTTCTGCAGTTCAAATGTACCCGAAATGGTTACTAAACTATTTCATGAACAACAATCTGGATAGGAGGCTTTATACACACAACTGAATCTTTTAGCAACAAATTAACACCCTATGAATTGCCTCGGCAGAGAATGCTGCCTTTACTATTAGCCCCTATTCAGAAGAACATTACTTAATGGAAATGTCATTGGACGGATGGATAGATGAATATGAGAGAGAGAGAAAGAGAGAGATTTTAATGAAGAGAATTTGGAGATGTGATGGGAACTTTAAGGCTGTTTCATAGGAATAAATTAAATTTATGACCAAAGTAGAAAGGAATTAGTTTTCAGGGAAGGGGGGAGATGAGAAGTACTTAGTAAATTTTTTTTTTTTTTTTGAGACGGAATCTCGCTCTGTTGCCCAGGCTGGAGGGCAGTGGCGCGATCTCAGCTCACTGCAAGCTCCGCCTCCCTGGTTCATGCCATTCTCCTGCCTCAGCCTCCCGAGTAGCTGGGACTACAGGCGCCCGCCACCATGCCCGATTAATTTTTTGTATTTTTAGTAGAAACAGGGTTTCACTGTGTTAGCCAGGATGGTGTTGATCTCCTGACCTCGTGATCCGCCCGTCTCGGCCTCCCAAAGTGCTGGGATTACACGCACGAGCCACAGCGCCCGGCCAGTAAATTCTTGTTAACCATGGGTAGTAGATATATCAACCTGTGAAATTTATATTTTGGATAATTATAAAATCACAAGTATTATACTTTTCTCAGAGCTATGTTTAGATAAAAGTTTAAGGAACACATCATCTGTGTATGTATATTTAGATATTTTTGAAACAAAGTATGTATTTGATAAATTTAATAATTCATTTAGCCATTCCAGTATTTCTTTGTTGAGTGCCTAGTGTTTGTCAGGCAGTGGAGAAGCTGTGGGTAATTGGCACTCTCCCACTGCAGTTAGTTACACTCTGGTTCTTTCAGTCTACCCAGCAGTGTGTGCTGATAATGTGGAAGTAAATGAATAAACAGGAATGGAATACAGAAGGATTCTTATGAACTTGCTCATATATGCATAGCAATAGAAAGAGTACTTCCTAATTGCAAACTTATAGCACATACATCTGCTAGAAACTCCTTGTGCTAAGTACATGAATTCAGGCATTAATTCCACACAAAAATAAAAGCTAAAATCCCTTGTACCATGTATACAAATGAGACAAGTGAGCTTGACATTCAAGCTTTTCAATTCATGCAAAACTAAAAAAAAAAGAAATAGTTTATATTGGGGAGCTTCATTTGCACCTTCTTTGGCAAAAGATAAGTGACAGAAAACATGCCAAGCAGAGGATGGTTTTCTGTTAAAAGAGTGAGATTCTCCAATAGAGGAAAGAAATTTTAAAAGACAAATTTTTAGTCCTTAAAAAATAATATCCAAAGGAATTTAAGAATTAAATAATATGGGATAATAAAATTAGTAATTTGCTCTTTTTATAATATTCAAAAATTTAAAAACAAGTAAAACACACATGATTTTACATATATATTCCTAATGGTTGAGTCTTTTAGATGGCACATCTTCTAGATGTGCACAAATAAAAGCCTGATATGGTTAATGCTAAAGGCTATTGCCTTTGCCAAATCAATTTATTAATAAAGATTATGATAATTGGTAAAGCAAGGTTAAAACTATGTTTTTTTCATAAGTTTTGGATATGGGTAGTAAATATTTTTGAGTACTTCAAATTCTTCTAAAAACATCTGCTGAATGGACTACCTTTTAAAAATAACTTTTTATACAATTGGTGGAGCTTCTTTAGTATCACGTCTTTAAAAGGAAGGAATTAGAAAATCTAGCTTCAGGTCTCAGCTTCATCTTTTTGGGCCTCCCTACCTCATGTAGAAACGGAAAGGTTTGAGTTATTTTATCTCCCAAGTCTCTTCCAGTTCTGAAAGTGATTCCATCAACCTGCCTATGTACTTTGAGTCATTTGAACAGTTTCAAGAAAACTTTGAATCATATTGAAAGAAATTGCCATTGTATTCATATGAAAGTACAGAACAAAACTTGGAAACAGTTGCTGCTCATTACAGCTGATATGCTATAAATGGTTGTTGACACTGAGACCAGATGTCATGGAAAATCCTGCATCATTAGGAAGCAGTGGGGGTGGGGAAGGAACCTATGTGTAAGAATGTCTGTGCACTCTATTTAAAAACCAACCTAGAAAGGGATTGCATTATAAGAATCTAAAGATCCTCTCAATATATAAAGAGTAACATAATAGATTGCATTAAGTTGGCATCATTAAAAAAGACATTCCTCAAGTTACAAATATTAAATGTTCTGCACATTGAAATGACCAGCTGCACTGGAATGTAGTAGCTAATCACTAATGTGTATGTTGTCACCACAGAGGACAGAGCTCCTATGATAAAATCCAGTGTGATTTTATTGTTTCATAGAAACTGTTGTGAGATATAATTTAGTACCCTTATAATGTTCATTTGAGAGATTAAGGAACTAATTAATTAGCTCCAGGCATTTGTGAGTTGCCCAAGTCCATATAGGTAATAACAGTTAGGGCCAGGACATGAACCCAGGTCTTCGCATTCTTTCTAGATCATCACCCTGCCTGTTTCTCTTACAATGCTGTGGTCCATAGTCAGCTAGCTACATTAGAAGACCTGGGTTTCTGATCTCACCTGTCTGATTCGTGTTAGAAAATAGAAAATCAAAATAGTGGAATAGTAGCAAATAATTGTGTAGTGGTGCTCCTGTCTAAGGAGGTAATCATTAATTAGGTGAGAAATACTACCCTTTCAGCTTGGGTAAACTATATTTGCAAATTATCTTCCTTTCTGTAGGCATTCAGAATTTAACCTTGTCAACAAAATTTTGTAGTACAATATATTTTTAACTTGGAAGCTATATGAGTGGTAGTAATTCAGGAAAATTAGAATAAATGTGCTTGCCCTGATTAAAATGTTGCTTTAGAAAGTCTTAGTGATTAAGCCTCCCACACAATCACAGAACATGATAGGAGGATTATTCAAACTAATATATACCAAACAGTTATATAGAAATCAAACTTGTGTGATTATTTTTAATGTTTCATTGGAGCTGCCCTTTAAAGCAATCTTGTGATGAAATATTAAAAAGTGAATAATCCCTTAAACTCATCATCCTAAATTTTTTAGTTTTCATTATATAATTTCATTTTAGAGCCTAAATTTTAGTAATCATCCTAATTTTTACATTTTCGTTATATAATTCTGTATTTTAGGTTTGCCTAAAGATATACATAAACATGAAATCATGTTAGTCTCTTAATTGTTACATCTACACAGTCACCTTCAAATAACCCTGCCTTTTCTTCTACATAACTGCAGCTGAACAGTCTTCATGAGTATAAGGTGCAACTCTGGTCCAGATGGATTTACTATTTTCTGGATGACTCACAAAGGCCCTACAGTGAGGTCTTCGTTAGTTATGAGTATTTGCCCCAGTCATTCAGAGGATATGCATGATAAAACTCTAAGATGTTCCATTTCTTCTGAATCGGCAGATACTTGGTGCTTGAGGCACAATGCACACAAGCCCTGCCCAACAGCTTTTTCATTTAGTGATAAGAGTGAAAACACACTCAATTTTTTAAAAGGTTATTTACCAGTTACGCTGACAGTTGCTCAACAAACTTATCACCTGACTTCAAACACCTAAAATGTGATTTCTAAAGTGATTGGAACTCTTTTTTTGAATGAGTCTGTGGTTAACAAATTAGGACAGATGTGTATTAACAGAAATCTCTGACATGCCAGTGCTTTTGAAAGTGAAGAAAGAATTAGAATCAACCATTGCTTACAGTTTGATGAGCTTTTTCCAAGTTAATTATTCCATGAGTTAATAGTTGGAACTTAACTTCTTGATCAGATTAGGAAATGCATGAATGTGGTAGACCATAAATTTTCATTGCAAAAATAAAATGTCAAATTAAAATAATTTAACATGTGTAGATACTATAGTATATTGATAAAGTTCCAAATAATTTCAAGTGTTAGGTTTTACTAAAAGTCATTTCAGCATAAAAGTCTTTTATATTCTTGAGATATCTTTATCCCATACTCCAAATTAAATTACGTATTTAGTGTTGAGGTGGTTAAAAATCCCTATCAGCCCCACAAAATTAGAAAAGTTTTCTCACATTTACCGGTCGTCATAATAGCGATGAATCTGATGGCAGTGAGCAACAATAGCCTGAAGAAGTCTGGTACTTGATTAAAACTTACTCGCCAACACTCTAATTTCTTGTAGATTTAACCTAATTTCTTCCAAGTTCTGGTTATGGGTCTTTGCTAATTTGCATGGCTGGCTTAATTAATAAATTAGATACTGGTTTAGGCTGTGTTTACACAAGGTCAAAACTACCAACAGAATTGACAAATTCAGTGGGAAAAATTTAGCCAATTTGATTTTTAAAGCATGACATTACTTGTTTATTAACATATAAACAAAATGAATTTGATTGACTGAATTTTTAGATTTTCAGACAATCGTTTTGGCATTTGTAGAGTCCATTGTTTCCCAACTTTTTTCAGTCTGAGACACACCTCTAAATTTGCTGGGTTTTGTCCCCAAACCACTCTCCCATATACATTCTAACCCAATATATTTATCGAGTTTGGGGTTGTATATCCTTAACTGTATATATTAATCAGTCTCCTTTTCCTGATCATCTTCATTTCTTAAAATCCACAAAGGCGATTCATGGAAATTGAAGACTGTTCCCTGGTGCTTATTTTCAAAGTACTGATGTGTCTTGATGCATTGGTTGGGAAACAGTGGTATAGACACAGCCTTATTCCAAGACTGAGTTATCAGCCCTTGCATAATGATAAGTACCCAAGAAAATAAAAATATATCTTTCTCATAGTACTCTGAGATGGAAAAATAAATATATAAGTAATGCTCTGAATCACGCTTTGAAGAAATGTAAATTATGTTTTAAAAGCTGGCTTATAAAGAAAAAAAAAAGCTGACTATAACATTTGGCAAATAGTAGTATACTCTTTCTGCCTTTAAGAATAAACAGATTCTTAAAGACAGCAATTTTAATACATAATTCAGAGTAAGTCTCCAAAATTTGTACCAAAATTGTTTGGAAACATTGAGGAATCAAAATCACTACATTTGGGTCCAAACTCTTGAAGTTAACTAGGATTTAATTTGCACAGTTTCATTTGCCAAATGTCTGTAGATTGGTCCAACTCTTGTTATTATTTTGCCAAGTTTCCTTCTGCTGAAAATGTCTGCTCTGTTAGGCTTCTAAGTCAATGTCCGTGGCCAAGTCTGAATCCTGAGCAGTCCTTGGAAACATGTGAGCAGGTCAAGACAGGTGCTCTCATTCATTTGATCCCTCCCCAAGTGTATTCTCTCTTCTACCCAGTATCTCTCTAGGACAGTTATGCATCTGTCTGAAGCCTGCACACATGATAATATTTAATCATTTTCTAACTGTATTTTCCCTGGGATTTAGGAATGGCAGTCTCCAGGAAAGATGACAGTGCATGAATTTTTTCCCCCTAATCCTGTAAAATGTTGTTAGTTTTGAATAGTCGCTTAAAATAGGTTCTCACTTCAGTCTCTTTTTTTTTCTTTCTAAATAAAGCCTGAGAATTTGCTTTTAGCTAGCAAATCCAAGGGAGCAGCTGTGAAATTGGCAGACTTTGGCTTAGCCATAGAAGTTCAAGGGGACCAGCAGGCGTGGTTTGGTGAGTAGGGCCCCCTCCTTCATGCTACCTATAGTCTTCTGGCTTCTGAATTCTGGCTCCTAATCCCACTTCCTAGTGAAAATAAAATGGAAAACTTCATCCTAATAACAATTTGACTAATTTTTAGATATTGTGCCTTTATAAGCATTTAATTTTGTTGACATAAAAGGTTATATAATCTAGAAATAATTCAAGGGAAAATATTAATGGGAGAACAAGAAGACATACACTTTTTTCTTCAAAGGATGATTGAGAAAGTACATTATTTAGTAAGCATTAATTAGAGGATTACAACATTCAAAGAGTACTTTTTTTATTTGAAAGAAAGTTGATTGTTTGCATACAACCTCATATGATGCCAAAAACTGCTGTGTAAATAGTAGATGCTCAAGAAACACAGGATATTTCACATATAATACTTTATGATTTATGATTTAAAGATTGTTTAAAAATTATGAAGCATCTATTTATGTGTATATTTCACCTTAGTTATTTTGTATGTCTTCAACATGCCAGTTTCCTCTCAAAAATTCTGATAATTTAGAAATTTTTATATGATGAAATTTCTGCTTCTTTACAATTAAGGAAGAAATTAACTCTAAATAAATTTAAATTATAGTATTTCTAACCAGACTTATGTTTTGTTTCAATATTCAGTCTGAATAAATTATTTACTCATTAATTTTCATATGCCTCTCTCTGCCATTTTCCAATATCCAACCCACTTCCCATGTATAGTTCCAAAAATATAACCTCTCCCCAAGCCTGTCTTGTCTTCTGACTTTCGGTGTGTTGAGGTTAGATAATTGTTTTAATGCCCTTCATTTCTGATTTATTTTCCTCTGAGCAACAACAACAAATAGAGGACTAAAAACATGCTATTTCTTTGTTTTATATGCAAATACTTTTCTGAGTCCCTAATGTACACATCTCCCAAGATGTACATATGGCTCCCAGGATTCACCACATCTCCCTTTTCTGCCCCAGCTGTTACTGGGAGTGGAGGGTGTGCCAAGCCTCCCTGGCAGCCTAATGCAGGACCTCAGTTCCTGCTGCCTGTCCTTTTTCAGTAGTACCTGACAGTTATTCTTGGTTGAAGTCTCTCTCATGTTTAATATTATCTTTTACATTATCTTTTTACCCTCCAATCCTAGATGAATTTAATACCTCCAAACTTGTCATTCTGTTTATAATATTTTAACTTTTTAATAAGCTTGTACCCATTAACTGCAAACTGAACGAAGGTAGGGCCTAGATTAGGTCTGTAAATTAGAGATTCAGATGATCTCTGTATCCTGGAAAAGAGTACAATTAACACAGAAAGAATATATTGTAACAGGAGTTAAGGGTTGAACAGGAAGTAGTGGGGCTATCACAGAGATGGGCAAAGCAAATACTAGAGATACATAAATTAAGTAGGAAGTCCTGACCCTGGAGGAGCTAAGGCTTTTGTATCTATAACTATTTACCATTCAGGGTGGAAGTATCTTAACATAGGAATGTATGAGGTGCTGTGGGAACACAAGACAGGAAGTACAAAAACCTGCCTCTGGAGAGAGGTTCAATAATTGCCTTAACACTTATGGTTGCCTAAAGGATGAATGGGACTTTGCTCACTGTCATGCAAGAAGATTAAGGCATTCCAGACAGAGGGATCTGCACATGGAAAGGCTCAGAGGCATGAAACTATTTTTTCTATTACAGTAAAACAAGAAGTTTGATAAAGCTAAAGTATACTCGAGTGAGTAGTAGTTAATGAGGCAGGAAATGATTTTATGTTTTTTTGAAGGATTTGGATTTCACCTTAGAGATTTTGGGATCTGGTGAAACATTTTTAGAAGAGAGGGACATAACTGGGTGTATGTTGTTTAATAATGATTCCAGTAGAAGTATAGAAGATGATTTAAGCATAGTTAATCTGCAAGCAAGGACCCAGTTAGACTAAAACAATCGTTCAAATTATGCATGATGATAGCGTTGACTAGGGAGGGTGTAGGAGCAAGCAAGTTCCAAATAACATACAGATCAGACAGGAAATATGAACTCTAAGGGAATCTGTTTAGGAAACATGAAAGTCCCAGACATTGGGTTCAAAGACAGGACTCGAGTCCTGTGTAGAGCAAAGCAGGACCCCACTTCATGAGAGACTTGGGGTATGAGGCAGGATACAAAAATGGGAACTTAGGCCCAGGGATATAATTGCCAGAAATTGGTAAAGATGATGATAGGATATCAGGAATAAGACAAGCCTTTGTTATCAGGTCTGAGGCTCAAATTAGCATCAGCAGCTATGTTTGATGATTACAAGAATGTTGGAATCAAGCTCCTTAAATCTCGTCTGTTTTTGAGCTTAATGTTTTATCTCCTCTGCTATGACACATATAGTTTGAGAGCAGGGCTATGTGTAGTGGAAAAAATTTTACTTTATGAATCAGAATATATGAATTTATATCTTGGCTCTGATTCTTAACAGCTGTATGATATTGAGCAAGTCACTTTAAATCTGTGAGGTCACTATCCTCTTTGTAAATGGGATAATAAACACTTCTTCACAGGACTGTTATAAGATTGAGTGAAATAGTCCATAGAAACTTGATTGAGCTATAAAGGATGTTCAATAAGTTTTCAAAATTGTCTTGGTGTGAAACAATGACATAATTCTTTGCATATTCAGTGAGAGTTGTTTAGTGAATCAGTGAGTAGAGGACTGAATATCAGGTCAGTAAAAGCAATAGCATCCAAATAAAAGTACATAGATTTTCAAATTGTTACTGATTTCTAAAAACAAGCTGGTCCCAAAGAAGCAGTGACAGCTCAGCAATAAAATTTCCACTTCATCAGCATGGTGCTATCAGCAATTAAGTTATTGTTAAGGTACCTGTTAGAGTAATAACTTTTAAAAGAAGCAACATCTTAAGTTCTAAGGCAATTCAGTATTTCAGAAGTACAGAAAAACAGAGTGTCTAAACTTGGGAGAATATACTTCTTTTTTCTCTTTCTTTTTCTTTTCTCAAGTTCAAGCGAATCTTCATGGTAATCTGAGAAAAAAGGAGATGTGGTGTTCTACGTTTCTTTCAGATGAGCTGCCAGATATATTTTAAGTATTAGGAGTAAAGGCATGTTTTAATAATGAATGACCTGTTTTGATGTTTATTCATTATGATCTGCCATTATAGTCCCATATATTTTTACTGATTAATTTTATCTTTCAAAATGTAATATCAGTGTTTATGGAGGAAAAGCTTTGTTATTTTAATTTTGATAAAGAGCAGGACTCTTTCTTCATTATGTGGAATACCAGAGCTTCAGGCTTTTACATAATTTTATTTTAATAAATATACGAGGTCCATTACAAATAAGAAAAAACATAGTATGTATACGAAACAACATAATAGATAATACAAAGCATTATGGAAGCTGTTTATTGTTTTTTTTTTAATTATCATTTTTCAAGTCCCAACTTGTTTGTTTTTTCCCATATTTACTTTTCATTTTCTAGTCTGGTCTGTTGGAATACTAGCCAAAACTGGTAGAAGTAAACACCCTGTCACTATACTTGATAAGATGGCTAGAAAATTTACCAAAAAGAAATATTCAAATATATTCTGTTTCTCTTATGGAACTGGACATGTTATTTGCAATACATTTCTAGCATTTTGTTGCTGCTAGAAAAAAAAAAGATAACTACCAAGATCTTGGTTCATGGAAGAATTATTTTGCTTTGTTGCTGTTATGTCTCTTTTTTATGATATTAAGGTTCTTTTTATGCCAATGTGTTACAATGGATACATTTCCAACAGTCAGTAATTCTCTTTTCTCTTTGTGTTATCTATTTTGATTTTCTTATTGGTTTTTCAAAGTAAGAAACATATGCTATCCCTAAAAAAGGCAAGCTCTCATTACTTTTTCTATTGATGGCATGTAGTATGATAATCCTAGATTCTTGCAAGTTTAATTTCCCACAGAGAAGGTCTTCTCTATTTTACCCCCCATATGTCTGTATTTATGAGGTCACATTGTACCGTACATTCTTTCCTAACGTCCATGCATTTAGATATATGCTTCAATATTCTTGGGGTAAGGACCCCATTGACTGCTCAAATGATGGTTGTAACTAAATAAGAATGAGCATGCTGGTATTCTCTTAGAATTTTAGTCTCCAGAAGAGGTTTGTAATAATTTATATTTTAAATGATCTTTTCATTTCTTCCTCACATAGTAACTTACTTCCCTATCTTAGGGAAGCTTAGGAGAGGTATTGTTAACATTTCGTACTTCTGGCCATGTATTCTAAGTTATTGAAATCATACATTATTAAAGTTTACTGATTTAGACAGAAGAGTACAGATTGTATATAAAAGAGTCATTGAAATTCAGGGTGAGAAGGGACCACCGAGAACTGTAGGTAACTAAGGAGAGCTCTAAGATGGAAATAACTTAGAGCCACTCTCTGTTAGAAAAGAGGTAGAGAAAAAATATTGAGGATTCAAGGAACAGAAAAAGTAGTATCAAGGGTGACACTGAGAAGGCCATTTTTAAAAGACCTTAAAGAGATTAGTCAGGTCAAGGGCTCAGAAGGAGAATGAAATCATGTTGAATGAATGAAGTGTAGCCGGATGATAAAGGATCTGAAAGTGCACACTAAGAACATTGGATGTAATCTGGACATTAGCATCGATTTCTCACTGGAGTCTCATTGCCTGTCAACTCTAGAGAAGTTGGAGAAGGATGGTGAGAGTGGAGGGGACAGAAGTGCTGGCAAACTCTTTAAAACAATTGTGTCCATCTCTACCTTGGAATTCACAGAGTGCATATCACTCCTTGAGGAAATCTTCAAGCTTTAGGCAGTGGAACCACCATTATTGCTCAGTAATTCTCTGTACCTCACAACTACCAACCAAATATTTATTTCAAGTCGAGTTTGAGGTACAGATGGATTACCCAGGGTCCATTTGAAGCTTAAATTGCAACATACAGGTCTTTTCTTGGAATCCCTTCTCATTGTCTATCCAATCTTCCCCCAAAACAAACAGAAAAAGAAGAATGGTAATAGAAAAGAAAAAAGATTAAGTGCAAAGTTTTTTTCCTCATTTTCTTTTTTGTTCAGAGAAGTAACTGTGTTGTATATATTGTCTTTTAATACCTCTTTGCATGTTGTTTGTACTTAATAAGTATAAATTTGTCACAGAAATGGGGAAAAAGTTTCTTTCTTGGACACTTTGCATTTCAATAAGTATACAGTGTGTTTCATCAGTGATCTGTGGTTGGAGAAATTCCATTATATATACTTTTAAAAAGTTTTTTTTAGTTTATTTGTGCTTTTAAAGAAAACTTCCAAATGAGGATAGTTATTTTTAGTATGTTTCAAGTAAACATTTTTATTTAAAAAACTGTTATTTTCAGAAATAAATATTTTACTCTAGATTCTAGCTATAAATTGTTTCTAAGTGTAACTTATTGAATTCTATACCAATATGTATAATATGAAGTTTTCTTTCCCCATCTAGTTTTTCTTACCACATCCCTTCTTAAGTCGAATGTCTAGTTGATACTTGTTCAGTAGTGATTCATCTGAATATTCCTGCATCTTCTCTTTAGTTGCCAGTTACAAGTACATACTGATTATTTAACAGTACACAGTGAGCTCTGTGATATATTTTCGACTTATATCTTCTCCTGGTGAGTTCTTCTCCATATTTCTTTTCAGGTGTAGTTTTAACTCCCATATACATAAAGGACAATAAGAATTGCTAACCAAAAGTGGCCTTAAGTATACACAGTGACTTTGCAGCATAGTAGATTGGCCTTCATATCTGGAAAAAAAGATGTATTTTTTTTCAAATGAGTTACAGGGCAGGGCATACTAGTGTTGATATTTCTATAAAGAGAAAGTCTACACTATTTATTGCTCTGAGAACCTTGTTGTGTTTTGAAAAACATATAATCAGATAAAGAAGCCCCCGATATTTTTCTTTCTTAGTTTCCCATTTCATATTGTTTTGTCAAATCAACTGTGACTCATTAACATCTCTTTTCCCTAGGTTTTGCTGGCACACCTGGATATCTTTCTCCAGAAGTTTTACGTAAAGATCCTTATGGAAAGCCAGTGGATATGTGGGCATGTGGTAAGCAATTATATTTTGAAGCAAATTTTGTGATAAGCTAGTGTCTTAGTCCATTTGGTCTGCTATAACAATCTGTCATAGACCAAGTGGGTTAAATAACAAAAATGTATTTCTTATTTATTTATTTATTTTGATACAGTGTCTTGCTCTGTCGCCCAGGCTGGAGTGCAGTGGTACAATCCCGGCTCACTGCAACCTCTGCCTCCCAGGTTTAAGCAATTCTCCTGCCTCAGCCTCCTGAGTTGCTGGGATTACAGGCACGTGCAACCATGCATGGCTAATTTCTGTATTTTTAGTAGAGACAGGGTTTCACCATGATGGCCAGGCTGGTCTTGAACTCCTGCCTCAGGTGATCCACCTGCCTCAGCCTCTCAAAGTGCTGGGATTACAGGTGTGAGCCAGCATGCCTGGCCACAAAAATTTATTTCTCACAGTTGTGAAGGCTGGGAAATTCAAAATCAAGGTGCCAGGAGATTCGGTGTCTGGTGAGGGCCTGCTTTTAGTTTTATAGAGAGTTATCCTCTCTTTGTGTCTTCACATGGCAGAAACAGAGAGGGGGCTCCCAGGGTCTCTTTTATAAGAGCATTAATCCCATTCATGAGGCCTCCATCCTACCAAAGACCTCACTTTCCTTCCTTCCATCATATTAGGAGTTAGGATTTTAACACATGCATTTTATGAGGGACACAAATATTGTCTATAACAACCACAATTTTTATAATTTAAAATACAAGTTGAACATCCCTAATCAAAAAATCTGAAATTTAAAATGCTTCCAAAATCCAAAACGTTTTGAGTGCCAACGTTGATTGCCACATGTGGAAAATTCTGCACCTGACCTCATGTGATGGGTTGCAGTCAGACACAGTCCAAACTTTATCTTATGCTAAAAAATATTTAAAATATTTCATAAAATTACCTTCAGGCTATGTGTTTAGATGTGTATAAAACATAAATGAATTTCATGTTTAGACATGGGTCTCATCCCCAAGATATCTTATTATGTATGTATAAATACTACAAAATCTGAAAAAATCCAAAATCTGAAACATTTCTGGTCCTTAGCATTTTGGATAAGGGATACTCACCCTGTAATATCTTTTAAATTTGAAGTTGATATTCTCTAGTGATCGACTTACAGTAGAAGTTCTCAAACCTCAGTCTACAGCAAGATTACATGGACAGCTGTTTAAATGACAGATTGCTGTGTTTCTGATTCAGTATATCCAGGATAGAAACTTTTACCTTTTTAACAAACTCTCAGGTGATGCTAATGCTGCCATTTTCTGGAACACTTTGATAACAGGGATGTGGAGCATTGCTCCTAGTGGTTATGTATTTATGCTGCTATCTTCTCAATGGATCCAGCCAGTCCTTCCAATAAGTATTATGTTTGCCCATGATACTTGGCAGAGTTTAAGAGTGAACTAGTAAATATTGGAAAATAATGAAATTGACCATCCCGAGGGGACAGAAGTCTGATTTAGGCCTCTATCAGCCAACTCAAATCAAAAACAGTATCCTATGCAGGCCCAAAGACATATAATGGGGAGGATTTTCACCCACAGTTTTTATAATGGAATTTTTATGTTTCAACATATATTTTGAATACAGGAAAGACTGAAAGAATGCTGCAACATTACCCTACTAAGATTATCAACATAATCACCTAAATTCCTGATACTATGTCATTGCTACCAGCCTACAAGTAGATACCTAACTATCATAGTTTGGCTTTAGTGTGCTGCAGACAGATTTCAGTGCCTTTGGTGTTTGTCAGCAAGCTTGGAAAAGTTGATTTAAAAAACTTTACTTGATTCTGAAAATAATTTTTTAGACTTGTTTTAGTTTAAAAAGTTAATAAATTCATCATCACTACTTTATAGTGATAGGCTGTTCCTCACTATATTTCTTGTCAGCTTTACCTCTTTGGTAACAACTTGATGTTTGATCTTAAACTGATTGAATCTTGGGCTTTCAGAGTTACCTCCATGCCTGGGAAGGCAGTGGTAAAATAGGGCACTATATTTATAGTTTCAACCCCTGGGGTTCAGTCTTTACGTTTTACCTACTAACCCAGTCTCTTTAATATATCTGAGTTGGTTTCTTTACCTGTAAAATAGGAATATGTTACCCTCATTGAATTGTAGGAGGGTCAAATGCAGTGCACTTTAAAGGAAGACAATTGACAATTGCTACTTAATTAATGGGTAAGGTCTTAGGAATGCCCCAAGCTCTGTCTTCCTGCTACCTACCTGAGAGTATCTTCTAAGCATGAACTCTAAGGCATGAACTCTAAAATGCCTTGAATTAGAGCATTGTCACAAAATATCTTTGTTCAAATCTAAATGTTAATGGAAGATATCTCAGATATTTTCCTTGCAATAAATCAGCTCCCAGCATACATAGATCTGTTTCTGCTGATGAATTTAAAAAGCAACAGAGTGGCCTGAGACTCAGGCAGACACAGACAGGTTTTGTGAAGGATACAATCATATTTTTTAAAGTATTTTTAAAACATGATAAAGCTATATTTTTGTAAAGATAGGGGGTTGTAGCTAAAACGCTGCATTTGGACCTTGAACACTAGAGGGATAGTGTGGCATACAATAGTCAGTAACCAAGGGAAGCAGGACTCAGCATAAGGGACATTTCATACTCTTTCTTTGCCTGCTTCATCAAAGGCCTTTTCCAGCCTCTTCTGCCTTTGTGTTTATCTCTCCTTGTTTTCCTAGTTTCCTTCCTATTTTCTACTTTTTTTCTTCATCCCTCCTGTCTACTTCATAGGTAAGAGGCAGTATGTATAGTGGTTAAGAGAACACACTTAGCTTCTCAGTTCACTTGCTGTATGACATGGCACAAATTCTTTAGTCCCTGTGTCTCAGTTCCCTCTTAGAAATGGAGATCATCAAAGTTCTTGCCTCATGGGACTGCAGAGAGGATTTTTTAAATACAGTAAGTGATAGTTATCATTGCTATTATTATACAAAGTCTTTATTTATAAATGAAGTTTCTAGATAACTGATATATGCATTATAGTAGGCTTAAAAAACAAAGTGTATTATATAACTCAGCATTATTGGCGTGATTATCAGTAGAATGCCCTCATCTGATGACCTGAATACCAAATTCTCTCTCTCCCTCTCTCTGCTTTCTTTCTTTACTTTTAAATTATTTTCCCTTGTTTTATTTTGTAAAAGGTGTTATTATGGACAGATTTCACAGCTTCTGAATCATATTTTACTCTGCCAAAGAATTTAAATAAATTATTCATTTGTTCTTATATCGAAAACATTTTTTCATGTTTCAAATGTGTCACCATAAAAAATGATAGACAAGTGAGGTGATAGATAGGTGAGTTAGCTCTATTTAATTATGCCACATTGTATATCTGTAAATATCAAAACATCATATTATACCCCATAAATGTATTCAATCATAATTTGTCAATCCAAAAAAATTAAGAATTTTTTGAAAATTTAAAACCTTTTTTTATAATGTATAAGTTTTATTGGTGTTGAAGAATATCAGATCCACTAAAAAGAAACCCAAAAAGCTAATAGTTTATGCTAGGGATTCTTCTCTGGCTGTGCAGAAAAATCAATGATGAAGCATATACAGGCAAACCTCAGAGATATTATGGGTTTAATTTCTGGTCTCACAATAGAACAAATATCAAAATAAAGTGAGTCACACAAATTGTTTGGTTTCCCAGTACATATAGAAGTTATGTTTACAGTGTACTATAGTCTATTAAGTATACGATAGCATTATGTCTAAATGCACATACCTTACCTAAAAAATACTTTAAAATAGCCAGGCCCAGTGACTCATGCCTGTAATCTTTGCATTATGGGAGGCCAACCCAGGAGGATCTTGAGTCCAAGAGTTTGAGACCAGCCTGGGCAACATAGGATGACCCATCTCTACAAAAAGAAAAAAGAAAAAAAAAAACTGTATTGCTAAAATATCATCATCATCATCTGAGTCTTCAGCAAGTTGCAATATTTTTGCTGAAGAGTCTTGCCTCAGTGTTGATGGCTGTTGACTTATCAGGATAGTTGTTGCTAAAGGTTGGGGAAGCTGTGATAATTTCTGAAAATAAGACAACAATGAAGTTTGCCACATCAGTTAACTCTTCCTTTCATGAAATATTGCAGTACTCACCAAAATGTGACACAGAGACACAAAGTGAACCCAAGTTGTTAGGAAAATGGCACCACAGACTTTCTCAATGCAGGGTTATCATAAACCTTCAGTGTGTAAAAAATGCAATATCTGCAAAGTACAGTAAAAAAAAAAAAAAAAAAGCACAGTAAAACCACATATGCCTTTCTATCAAAATGCCCAGATCCTGCATGGGCCTCTGCTTTAGTGGATCTGTGGTAAACACAGGCAACTGCATTTTTAATAACCTATGATGTATTATCAGAGTTTGGATTCACTGTCTTAGACTCACAAAACACACTATGTTCAATTTTAATATTACTTTGGAATATTTGATTTTATGTGGATTGTCTGAGTACATTTCTGTAATACAGTTCATATATCTAACCTTTTAAAATAATGGAATATCTTATAATAGTGAGATTTCATATCTGTGAAATGTGAGAGAACTTATAAGTTAGAAGCTCTAACTTTCTTGTCTGGAAGAGGGAAAAAGGATAGGTAGAGAGTAGTTTCCATCTTTGTTTTCTAAACTATATAACATTTTGTTAGGTGTTAAGCAAATATTAGATAGATACTACGTACACATGTGCATACATGCATGCACACACACACACACACACACACACACACATCAAGAATGACTCCTTAGAAACTTATAGCCATAGGGCATCTCATAGATTTTTAACCCCAATTTTGCCACCTTTCACCTTGCTATATTGTATCCTTTCTTCACATAATATTATGCAAACAGCCAAATTCCTTTGTGATGAGCCTTGCCCCAGTTGGAGCATGTATGTGCCACCAATTTCCATTTCTTTAGAGACTGTGTGGACGCTTTGTCTAGAAATGCACTTGAGATCACACAGCTATGAAAATGTCTTAAGTGTTCTAATATCACATGTTGAGGGGAAATGACTCCCACTAGAACATTATAATGTATTCTTTTGTTACATATCTTGGTCATTGTTGTGGGATTTGGAATTGTTTTACCATTTTATTATATATCACCTCACTCGTGTGACATGAAAGTGACATTAATTCACTTTATTTGTAAGGTGATGTACCCTTAAACTCATCATCATTGTAATCACCACCACAGTAATGGACACACTATTTGGTTGCTTTTAGGTTGTGGCTTATCCTGAGGGAAACTCTTTTTTAGCCATTCATTAGCACTGTCTCTTGCCAATTAAGTAGTGACTTATTTTCAAGAGTAGACACTGGGTTGAGTGGTAAAAAATTACACTACTCAGAAAACAAAAGAAATGCAAAACAAGCCATTTAGCAGAAAGGCAGCTAGCCTTCTATATGAATTAAGCTCTGAACCCTCATTACAGCAGAGCAGAGTGAAGCAGGGCATTGGTATAATGACTAAAACAAGCCTGTACATTATTTTTATTAGAATCATGCAATTATCTGCACACAGGAAATCTCGAATTCCAACATTACCTTGCTTTTGTGATCGCACACAGAGTATGGTCTGACCTGTACTCTCTCTTTGGAAGCAACTATTCCATTACTGGAAAGCAAATAATAAACATTAATGAAGCAAGAACATAGCCTTGTGTTCTGCCATTAACAGCAGTAAATTGATTTTTATGACTTAATTGTATGTATAACTGCTTCCATAATTTCCTAATGGGATGAGGAAATGTTTGTGGATGTCACTGGATCACAAATTTCTAACAGAGCTTCTTCTACAATTTGGCCTAAAAATAAATAAATAAATGCAAGCCTATAACATAGGTCTCTCCCGCACCCTATGTACATATGTGTTGTCTTGCTACTTTTCTGCCTTACTTAGGTATCACTCTCAACAGTTATGAGTGATAATAAATTAGTGGCTGTCACAAATGTACCTTGACTTCGGACAAACCTTGGGAATTTTATGGAATATGTTTCTTCTTTTCTTGTGTGGTGAATTTAGGTTCAGCAATGATGTGTTTTCTGGGGTTTAACCTTTTCATATTTCAGCTGGTGTAAGTCATTATCAGTTACTTTAGTCATTTTGAAATCCCAAGCCTACTGGATATTCTGTTGCTATTACCAGTTCTGAGGTTACCTTACACTTGGCCAATCACAGATAGGCCTCCAGATTAGAAGCCTTCTGCCTTCATCCATTCTTACCCACATCTCCAACAGTCTTCAGTTCATGGAGCCTTACTCCCAATCATAGTCTTTACCAATATTCTCTTACTCTGAACTTACACACTGTCTTAAATTTCTCTACATTTACTATGTCTGGTTTCCCTAACTTGGTGTTTTTCAAACTCTGAAACACAAACCACATGGTTCATTCAGAGTGACCTAAAGTGCACCCTCCTGAGATCTACCTCAGGACCATTGAATCAGATTCTCTGGGGCCACAGGATGCAGCAATCCCACTTCTGGTTATATATCCAAAAGAATTGAAAGAAGCACCTTGAAGAAATATGTGTACACCTATGATCATAGTAACACTATTCACAACAACCAGGAGGTGGAAGTAACCCAAATGTCCATTGACAGATAAATAGCTTAAACAAAATGTGGTTTATACGTATAATTGTATATTATACAACCTTAAAAAAGAAGGAAATTCTGTCCCGTGCTACAACATGGATGAACCCCAAGGACATTATGCTAAGCAAAATAAGCCAGTTACAAAAGCACAAATATTATTATGATTCTACTCACATGAAGTATTAAAACAGTCACTTTCATAGAAACAGAAAATAGAAAGGTGATTACCAAGAACTAGAGAGAAAGGGGAAATTAGTGTTTCATGTATATAGAGTTTCAGTGTTGAAAAATGAAAACAAACTGGAGATCTGTTTCATGACAGTGTAAATGTACTTAGTACTACAAAACTGTTCACTTAAAAATTGTGCATCTGGCTGGACATGGTGGCTGATGCCTGTAATCCCAGCACTGTGGGAGGCCAAGGTGGGAGAATCACTTGAGCCCAGAAGTTTGAGACCAGCTTAGGTAACATATAGTGTGACCCTACCTCTACAAAAACAGAAAAAATTAGCCGGGCATGGTAGCACACACCCGTAGTCCTAGCTACTCTGCTCGAGAGGCTGAGCCCGGGAAGATCATTTGAGTCAGGGAAGTTGAGGCTGCAGTGAGCCATGTTCATGCCACTGCACTTCAGCCTGGGTGAAAAAGAGTGAGACCCTGTCTTTAAAAAACAAAACAAAACAAAAAAACAACAAAAAAAAAGATCTGTTTTATGTACTAATTATTTATTTATTTGTTTGTTTGTTTATTTATTTATTTATTTATTTATTTCGAGACAGGGTCTGGCTCTGTTGCCCAAGCTGGGGTGCAGTGGCACCATCTTAGCTCACTGCAACCTCCACCTCCCAGGCAGAAGTTATCCTTCTGCCTTAGCCTCCCCTGTAGTGGGGACTACAGGTGCACACCACCACACCCTGCTAATTTTTTACTTTTTGTAGAGACAGGGTTTTGCCATGTTGCCCAGGCTGGTCTCAAACTCCTGAGCTCAAGCAGTCTGCCCACTTCGGCCTCCCAAAGTGCTGGGATTGAAAGTGTGTGGGACCTTTTTTTATGTACAATTTAAAGTCACTGTGCGGGACCTTTTTTATGTACAATTTAATGTCATGTGTTTAAATTTAATGTTAGGTATTTTTAGCATAATTTAAAAAAAAAAAGATTCACTGAGGTGAGGCTCAGGAATTTGCACTTTAACAAGCGCACCAGGTGATGTTGATGCAACACCAAAGCTAAGCAATACTACCACAGCTAATTTCAGATTCCTTTAGGAGAGCAGTTTTTAGGATTATTACAGGATATGTCAGAGGTTGCAAACAGGTGAAGTCTTAGTTCAGGCTGCTATAACAAAGTCACATAGACTGCGTGGCTTATAAACAACGAAATTTCTTTCTCATAGTTCTGGAAGCTGGAAGTCTGTGATCAGGGTGCCACCATAGTCAGGTCAGGTTTTGGTGAGGGCCCTCTTCAGGGTTACAGACTGCCAACTTTTTGTTGTATCCTCACATGGTAGTTAAGAGAGCTAGCTAGCTAGCTGCCGTCTTCTTAAAAGGGTGCTGTTCCTGTTCATGAGGGACCCATCCTCATGGACTAAATATCTCCCAAAGGCCCCACCACACCAAATACCATCACATTGGGATTTGGATGTCAACATATGAATTTTGAGAGCCGTACAAACATTCTCTCCATTGCAGGCAGTCTGCTGTCTTAGTCAGACATGCGGACATTTTATTCTTATGAGTGTTGATGTTAATTATTTATCTTTATAATTTATTAGCAAGTAATTTCTATAAAAACTATCAGTTTCTTGCTTCTCTAAAATAATCAAAAGAACAGGTGATGCAATGCTTTTGCTCTTTTATAGTAATTGTACCTGTCAGACACATGAACACAGCTGCCGCCCTGGTGACCACCCCACCCCATACACAGTACAGGTGCAGGCCTTCATCCCTGCCTGCTGCCAAAAGGCCTGTCAGTTTGCCACTCCTACTACATGGCATAGATAGTTTCCATCCTCTGAAACATGCCTTCCTATCTTGCTGGCATTGATCTTCTAGCTCTTTGTTCTGCCCTTCATTGGCCATTTAGGTCAGAGTGTTAGTTGAGCACTTTCTCTACTTGAAATGTATGATGATTTTCCATTAATCATACTACAACAAGGTAAGAGAGAGCCATACTTATCACTCATGTAATTAATTGTGTACTTCCAAGTTCCACATGCATTTTGCTTATAAGTTTATAATGTACCCCTTTATTTACTTAGAATATTCAGTAACTGTCTTAGATTCTTCCATTAACTTCCTACTATCTTCTCAGAGTTCTCCAACATTCCTTCTTCATCTCTCCTTTTGTAAGAACAGCATTTAGAATGTTTAATTATTAACAAGATTATAGGTTTAACAACTTTTTTAACATTAACTTTTATTAAAATCAATTTTGAATGTTCTCGATGATATAGTCTTTCTACCTAATTGTAATCAGTGCTTCTCAAAAGTCTTATTAACCGGACATCTCTAGCATCTCCCAAGCACAAATATATACATAAGATAAGGAAAACTAGTTTTAATATCTACCTGTATATGGAACCAACTCTATCAAAAATAGTTTTAACTGTTTGTCATGGAACATGTGAAACATAAAATGGAGAGAATACTATAATAAACTGATGGCTAATCTTATTTCATCTATTTCCTCCCTTTCATTTCCCACTCCAATATTATCTTAACCAAATTGAAACATTGTATCAATACATCTATAAATATTTTAAAGTATATCTCTAAAAGAAAAGGACTCTAAATATGACAGTAATATTAGTTTTAAAATTTTAATAATTATTGCTTAGTAACATCAAAATATCTAGTCATTTTCCTATTTATCCTCTCCTGTCATAATCTTGTTTGGTCTCTTAGGTCTCTTAGTCATTCTTAATTTGTAATTTTTGCTCCATTCTCTCTTCTGTCTCCTTATTTCTTGATTTATTTTTCAAAGAAAACTGTAGCTCCAAGACAGCACATGTAAGTGCTCAATCTTGGTCTCTAGATACTATTTACCATTAAAAGGAACCAGAACTTTCTGTAATAGCAGCTGATTTCAAGTTTAGAACAGGAAAAAAGCAAGATGATCCAGGAGCATCTTGTCATACCACAAAGAAAAACTATTAAGGACCACAGAGTTTATATTAACAGATGCAGGAACCACTTTGAGGAGGCTGGCACTAGCCAAAGATGGGGCAATTGAGAATCAATAAGAAAAATAACATAATAGATTGAAATACATCAAGTAAGTTTAAATCCAGGAATTGATAATGATAATCAAAATTCAACAGAAGTCCTAACCTTTGGGGGATGTTGGGGAGCCAATGCGTTATTTTAAAAACTGGCTAGTAAAGAGGAAAATAAATAAATAATAGCCTATCTTTCCTATATGAACTGTATCTTAGGCCAACCAAGTGGATAAGGAGCAAGATTTTCTTAGTCTAAAGAAAGCATGATATAATTAGAGTATCATCATTTTGTTTGTTTGTTTGTGAGTCTCACTCTGTTGCCCAGGCTGGAATGCAGTGATGTGATCATGGTTCACTGTGGCCTCGAACTCCTGGGCTCAAGTGATCTTCCCACCTCAGCCTCCCAAGTGGCTGGGACTAGCTGTGCATTCCACCACACCTGGCTAAATTTTTCTATTTTTGGAAGAGACAGGGTCTTGCTATGTTGGCTAGGCTAATCTTGAACTCCTGGGCTCAAGTGATCCTCCTACATCAGCCTCCCAAAGTGCTGGGATTATAGGTGTGAGCCACCATGCCCAGCCATCATTATTTTGCAACCCCAGTAAAATTATGTAGGCAGTAATCATAAAAGGCTGCTAGTGTCATGAGAGATACCCAACATTTGGAGGTCACATCATCACCCCTCAAGTGGTCTCGCAAAAAAAAGACTTCTTCATTGACTTTTAATGATTTTAGTACTTTAGGTATATGGGCAAAGAAAAAGAGCTAGTGATTTTTTCCTTTCTTTTTTCTCTGACATAGAAAAAAGGTAAAATTTAGGTTTATTAAAAAGATAAATTGGGCTTACTCATGAGGCAAGAACTCAATTAGAACAACAAACACTTTTATTTTATTTTATTTTATTTTTATTTTTGAGGCAGAGTCACAAGACTCTGTCACCTAGGCTGGTAGAATTCAGTGGCACGACCTTGGCTCACTGCAACCTCCACCTCCTGAGTTGAAGCGATTCTCCTGCCTCAGCCTCCCGAGTAGCTGAGACTAAAGGCATGTGCCACCATGCCCGGTTAATTTTTTTGTATTTTTAGTAGAGACAGGGTTTCACCATGTTGGCCAGGCTGGTCGTGATCACCTGACCTCAGGTGATTTGCCCGTTTTGGCCTCCCAAAGTGCTTGGATTACAGGTGTGAGCCACCACGCCCGGCCTAGAACAACAAACACTTTTAAAATAAGCATTTGTTTAGAGGACCTAGCTAAAGGAAAAAGTAGCTGCAAGGAACATTTAAGATAGGACCAAATGGACATCTTTGCTAGTATGTCAAGGTCTCTCAGTTAGACAACACAAAGTTTTAAATTTTATATTATCATTCCTACTAAAGTTCATAGATAAAGAAAAAGTGGCTGCAGGGAATGTTTAGAGCATCATTATGTCTGTCCTGCTTGTGGTTGAAACAGTTACTTAATCTCTCAGCCTGTTTCTTCATCTATAATATAATGCAGATAATAACAATATCTACCTCATAGCATTATACAAGGATTAAATGAGATAATGCATTAAAGCACACATAACTCTGAATAAATGTTATCTACAATAAAATTTATTAGTATTACATTATCCTTATGCCATGAGTCTCATACTTGTTCTATACATTCAGAAAATAGAACTACAAAATAGCATAACTCAGAAAGGTTTTAGATGCTTGTTTAATAATCAAGTTGAAGTAAACTTACAAAACGGTGTTTATTTAAATAGGCACTGACAATTTCACATCAGGCTAGTCAATAGCACCTATAATATGTTTTTTTTTTAAGTCTTTGGGCCTAAAAGTGTTTTTTTTAATCTTCACATTTATGCTATTATTTTATTTAAAGTACATGTTTTTGTAAACACTCCTCCATCAAACAGCTAAATTGTGGGCATCTATTACATATTGCCTGCTTTTCTCATGGAATGAGCCCTCTGTGAGCTTCCTCTTCCCAGAGAAGCACCACATCAACTGTCAACTGCAGACATAATTCATAAGGACAAACAGCCTATGTTGAGAATGCTAAATGTCTCAGTTGAGCCACTATTTCATAATTCTATAACAGCCTAATTCCAGATGTGTATTAGGAAAATGTTCATATTCAATGGAAACTATCACTATTACAAAGCAAATTTTCTTCTTAACCTCCTGGAACCTTATATAGCTGAGGGCTAAAACTACTCAGGTACAGCTTTTTTTCTACTTGCCTCCTGAGAACACAAAGAGAAACACTCATCATCATCATTACTATCATCATTTTCATTAGATGTATGGAAAAATTATTTTTATGTCATGAAGGTGAGGTACCAATATACTGTGGTTTTCTTCATGGTCTTTTTTTTTTCCTTAAGAATGTTGTTTAAAATTTTTTATCCTTGTATTGATTCACATGACTTAAAAAATCTGCTTATGAACTGTATCTTCCTGAAGCAGGCTATAAAATTCTAAGATGATTAAACCATTGCTTAAAAACCATTTCAGCTGCTACAGTGTCTATTGTATAAAGATGTCCAGACTGCTGGACAGGAGCAGGGATAGATCTCCTAGGTACAGAGACCAAGAGACCACCTTGGATAAGGGAAAAAATAAGTCTCAGGGTACACCTGGCAAAGTGTCACCTGTCTTACTCTTCTTCTCAGGTTTCCTAGGCTTAAGGAAACATAGCAAGAAAAAAGCAAACAGGAGAGGTCAGAGGAATGACTGCCTTCCTCCAGGATAATGAGCTAGGAAAGAAACCAAAGGCCTTAAGCAAGGCAATAAAATACGTGAAAAGTGGCAGGAGAGATATTTGATGACAGAGAAGACCACTGTATCAAAACAATCTCAGACATTTAGACTGCAGATATGATTTCAGGGAAATTTACAAACTGTGAATACAGAATTTTTTTAATTTTAAAAGTGAAATTAGATTTTGGTTAATTTATAAATAATTATGTTTGTGAAAAATTTTAGCAAATTTTATTACAGCCATGTGTTTATTGTTATTATTACTTTGAATTTTCTGTGGAATTTCTCCCTTCTCTCCCTTTTTCCTCTCCCATAATATATATTCTTCTGTAGTCTTGTTGGTTTAGTTGTTTGACTGAGAAGGCTTGAAGTATTTGAAGACTAAGATTACTGAAAAGAAAAGGGTTTTGTCTCTATGGGGTACCCACATTTGCAGGGACTATGGTTATTTAGAACGTGGATTTATAACCAGGACACCATCACTCAACAAAATGTCCCAATGACCATCAAAACAAGTATGAGGAAATAAAAAACATGCTTAGTTTTTAAACTTCAACCTCACAGTGACTAAAATCATAGTCTCTATATAGATAAGAATGCAGTAAGACCCTCTATAGACAAGAGTTCAGGGGGGCCAAAGAATGTTGCCCTAAATGAATGTTGCCCTGCCATGCCTCTTTAGAATTCTTTGATGCATGCATTGACTGACACATTGTCAGAGTTCTGGAGCATAGGAGGAGAAGCATTCACCCTCCAGAGACTGCTCTAGACTAGATCATAACACATCTTTCTGAAGTTTTCCTACAATCCAGTTTTCTCTGTTTTAACAACTACGGCTTAATATCATTGTGGATCAGCCACATTTAATTTACTGTTGTCTATATGACTTAAATTGTGTTAACATTATATTCTCCTCCAGGTGTCATTCTCTATATTCTACTTGTGGGGTATCCACCCTTCTGGGATGAAGACCAACACAGACTCTATCAGCAGATCAAGGCTGGAGCTTATGATGTATGTAATAACTATTTATATCACTTTAGATGAAGGTTTGTCTTTTGCCTGTTGACCAAGAGCCAGATCTTTTCATTTTTCTTTTAACCATAATTTTTACCACTTTCTCATATTATTTCCCTCTCTCTTAAGGAAAGGGAGAAAGAAATGCAGCATTTGTATCCAGTTTACGTTTCCTTTTAACTCACTGTCTCCTAAGATTGAAAGAAAAGCCATGTGAAGTCTCTGAGGAAGAACTTTGTCAAAATATTTGGACCTTAGTGCATTTTAAAAACATAAAAATTAAAATATTTCTGCTATAGAAATGATTATTGCCTGTTTAGTTGAATTATATTCTCAAATATCTATCACATAATTTTATATTATATACCAACAATATTTTGCTGTGATCACATATCAAATAGAACATTATCCCACTATACCAGTTTCTGGGTTTTGTTTTTTGTTTTTGTACTGTTTGGGATACTATGCAAGCTTTCATTTGAAGAATGAGTTTCACAATTGAAAAATTTGAAAATCATAATTCTAATAATATATTTAATTTATAATTAGAATATTTGAAAGTAGATATATATATATACATTCATAAATTAAGTTCAGAATCTGAAGAGGAAGGCTTTATCTACTTTCTCTTTATGGCTTAACTTTGTGTTTATGATATAATTTGCTCTCCTTTGATACATATTCTTGTAAATATGATTTACCACTTTCTCAGGTTTCCCCTCATACAGCCCTATGGAAATCCATGTGCAGGGTCTGGGCATGCTTTCCATGTGTTATTAAGTAGAGTAACTACAGAGTAGCAATATTGGGTTCACCTTTTGTGCACAAGTTGAAAGCTCAATGTGAAAGTGAGAGGAGAAGATATAAAATGTCTTTATTATATTCTATAATGTCTCGTGAACTCTTCAATGCATTTCTGATAAAAATTTTCTATTTAGATGGATGTGTGTGTCAGCAAGAATTAAAAATGTATATTCTTTGAATTTCAAAGCATTGCATTATTCCTAGACTAGTAATTGGAACAAATTATTATTTACATGGCAATAGCTAGCACATTCACCATCTTTACAGACTAGAACCAGCCCCTCTCTGGGCAGACGTAGCCCTGAAAATGCACTGCTTGGTATACCTAGAGGAATGCTTTCATGAAAATTAGAGAACTGAGGAAAATGTTCACCTTTCTTCATGCTGAACCTACCGCTCATTTGCTATCAGAAGACCTGTACAACATTAAGAAACAGCCTCGTGTGTTTCTTTAACAGCTCCTAATAGTTAGCAAGCTTTTACAACTGCCAAAGATAAGCTTCAGGAATTAAAAAATGGCAATTGTTTAGCTGGCAAAAATTACAGATATTAGAGTCAATATCATTTTTCTCATGCTTTATTATGCCAGTGAGTCACAAGTTCCCCATTTTAAAACTACTAAAAATGGACTAATTTAATTCCATGACACAGTGGCAATGGCTTTATTTTTCAAGATTGTCCATACAAATTCATGAATTGGGAAAATAACCTGATATTCTATCATTTTGCAACTAATGTGGTGTAAATTTCCCTTCATCGTTGAAGGACAGTATTTCTACTAAATATGCTAATCATATAAAAGTAAGTTAAGTAATTATCACTACAAAAAATAATGTAAAGAAAGGAGAAGTAGCTTTCTTATATAGTCTTAATATAAAAAAGTATTAGTAATGGGAAGTTATAAGATTTGATTACTTTCATATACTTTGGTGAAATTTGTAATTGGGCAGATTAAACTTCTTGAAGGGTTAAAATGAAATCTTGCTGAAGCTCCTGTAGTCTCAGATTCTTCTCACTACAGCACTCCAAGTAGCCCTGATTAATAGGTCAGTTTTGGCACAGGAATTGAAGCTGTTTTATTACCTCTGCTATTACTGCTTATGAGTTGTGAAAGTATATAATACCTCATTTTGAACCTTGGCATAATATCATGATGACATTGGTACATGTAGCAACCTGTTTGCTTTTATTAAGTTTTGCAAATAATTATGAGAAAGATTGTATAAAATTTCATTTTCAGATCAAAGCAGAGATACTTTGAGAAGAATAGAAGATTCTTAAGTTCTTTTTTTCTGAATTTTAAAATGTATTTACCATATGTGATATGCAGCTCAGTACATATGTTGGTCCCTTATCAGATACTCTTTAATATATATAGTTGTCTACATAGAGGGGGAGAATAGATCTAAATGGTTTTATTTATTTTAGATACAACTTAACTTATATAAAAAGTAAATTTATGAAGAAATTCACTACTTGAGGGAATGATTCATGTAGTTGACTCTTCCCTGTTTGATCGAGTGTGTCTATTTTTTAAACTTTTTATAAATTTATATTTTTGAAGTTTCCATCACCAGAATGGGACACGGTGACTCCTGAAGCCAAAGACCTCATCAATAAAATGCTTACTATCAACCCTGCCAAACGCATCACAGCCTCAGAGGCACTGAAGCACCCATGGATCTGTGTAAGTAAAACTTCTCCAAAACTTCAAGAACTAAAATGAAAAATAAGCTCTCCTTTAATATATTGTTTATGGATTTAAAATAGCTTTGCAAAAAAAGATGAAACTCAGAATGAATGAATTTTTGACTCGAGGTGTTTAAGAAAATTAATTTTATGATGGTGAAAAAATGCAATTTTCAGTAGCAAAGTCTGAATTGCATAGATTCTTAAATAAATATTGCTTGCAGTAACAAAAGGAATGAGTATTCTCCATATCAATTATTAACAATACTCATGAACAAGGTTAAGAAAATAACACCAAAATTAAATGTGTCCCAGAAGAAAAGATTTAACAAAGTTCAATTATTTATCATTAGGCAACTTTAGAAACAAGTATGAAGTTTGGCAGCTGACAGTAGAGTTTCAGTGGCGTAAAATAATGGTCATAGTAGTCTGAATATATTTTAGAAATATTAAGAAGAATAGTGTGAAATTTGAGGGGGATCTGGAGACTTCAGTAAATTTCCAAATGTGTCAAATGCTAAGGTGATAAATGTGGCACTAAGTAAATGAAAGGCAGCTCAATCAAAATGTGATTGAAGACATTAAAATAAAGATAATTTGAGAAATTATTAATATTCATTTCTATACTTTCTGGTTTGGTTTTGTTTTGTTTTGAGACAGAGTCTTGCTCTTGTCACCCAGGCTGGAGTGCAATGGCACGATCTTGGCTCACTGCAACCTCCACCTCCCAGGTTCAAGCAATTCTCCTGTCTCAGCCTCCCGAGTAGCTGGGATTACAGGTGCCCACCACCACGCCCGGCTAATTTTTGTATTTTTAGTAGAGATGCGGTTTCGCCATGTTGGCCAGGCTGGTCTCAAACTCCTGACCTCGTGATCCACCCGCCTTGGCCTTCCAAAGTGCTGGAATTACAGGCGTGACCCACCGCGCCCGGCCCATTTCTATACTTTCTATACGTCAGTGTTGCATCTTGGTCACAAGTAGTCTTGGCAAAACTAAAATTTTATTTTTAGGTAACTTTGGCAATTGAATACTTAGAAGTTGATCCTGCAGGTGCAGCACCATTAATAAATATTTGATGAAGTCAGGGACATTATTATACTTAGTGTGTTTTAAATATTCTCAATTAAGTTACTTTTTCTCCTCTTCTTCTAGCAACGTTCTACTGTTGCTTCCATGATGCACAGACAGGAGACTGTAGACTGCTTGAAGAAATTTAATGCTAGAAGAAAACTAAAGGTAAGAAATTTTACATTTTTATGGGGAGGTAGATTTGACAGACTAAGAAGTGAAATACTGTGTGAGGAAAATAACTTCTAGCAAAGGCTTTCAATTATGTAGACCTCAATACTCTCATTATTCTTTTTGGGGCTCTTGGGAAATGGAATATACACCAGAATCAAAACTATGGTGAAAAGCTGGAATCATCCTGGCAACACATGCTGTGGATCCTTCCTTCAGTGGAAAACAGCTGTGCAATTTGATAATCAGAATCTGGCCCGCACACTAGGGCCGTCCCAGCATCATGAGAGACAAAGGCCTTTGACTCTCAGGAAACCAAAAAACAAAAACAAACAATAAAAAATCCCCTAACTGAAAGTAGGGCCAGGAAAAGATTTGTTATCAAAGACTCTATATTTGTTAGGTCCAGAATTTGCATAGGCAACACTGACTTTTGTGTTCTAATTTTTTTCACAGGGTGCCATCTTGACAACTATGCTGGCTACAAGGAATTTCTCAGGTACATGCATTGGGAACTCTGCTTCTTATCCCTTGGTCTTCTTTTTAAGTAGTCTCTGTTTTTTTGTCTCTGGAATTTTAAAAATCTAATAATTAGAAAAACTTCATTGTTCAGGGGTGGCAAATGTGTGGCACAGATTCCTTCTACACCTATGGCTGCCATTAGCAGTCTACCTGGGTGCTGTCTGCTGCCGAGCCTCCGTGACTGAACCCCTCACAAGACTGCTTCTGGCAGCAGTGGCCACCAGTCAGTGCTGGTGCAGGACTAGCCTCATCTGTCAAGTGCTGGGGTGCGCACGAGTTGTGGAAATAAATACTCCCTCATTTACGATCTCAGCGTTTCAAACCTAGAATTTATTACTGATATTTCATAAAGTAATAACTTTGAATAAGTTATTTTTGGTCTCATTTTCATAGGGAATCCTAGTATGCAAGATTTTTAAAAGAAGACCATTATTGGCCGGGCGTGGTGGCTCACGCCTGTAATCCCAGCACTTTGGGAGGCCGAGGCAGGTGGATCACAAGGTCAAGAGATCAAGATCATCCTGGCCAACATGGTGAAACCCCGTCTCTACTAAAAATACAAAAATTAGCTGAGTGTGGTGGCGCGTGCCTGTTGTCCCAGCTACTTGGGAGGCTGAGGCAGGAGAATCACTTGAACCAGGGAGGTGGAGGTTGTAGTGAGCAGAGATCACGCCACTGCACTCCAGCCTGGCGACAGAGCGAGACTCCGTCTCAAAAAACAAAAAAAAGGGAAGACCATTATTGAGGAACCCAGTTCTCTTAGACCTAAGTTCATTCAAAAGTATAGTATTTTCTTGGTGTACTATAAAAGTGATTACAACTGTCAAAGGTATCTAACTCAAGAATTTACAGAGCACCTTGCACTCAGTACTATCAGAGCATAATAAATGTCCCTCAAAATGATTCCATGGTAAAAATAAGTTTGTTAAATAATAGGCTTAAAGAAGCCAAGCCATTTCTTTATTGTAAGCGTCACTCTCTAAAAGTGGAGATAAAGTATATATTACTCCAAGAAATTACTTGAGTTTTGCAACCTCCTTCTTTGATAGATTGTCTCAAAGGACCAGGTTCCCAAAAGTCAAATCTTGTTCAATGCTAAGCAGTCTTATGTAGGGGGAAGGACTGGAGCAGCAATTAAGCCGCACTTGGTAACCTTTGGCCCTTTAGACTTGGAACACTTGTCAGCCAAAAATACTACCAGTTTAGTTTGGATACAGTTTACATAACAGTGATCTGCAGCATCAAACTGTCCAGCTATTTTTTCAATTCTTTATTTTGTTTTCTGCTACATACTTAGCCTGGGTGTTATAGTGTTATCAGGTAATAATCCATCATATCATTATTAAATGCTCTTCAACCAATATCTAGTTATTATTTACAACTGCATTAAGTGGTCACCTTTCTCCCCACCTTTGCATTTCATTACAAATAATGGGAAACCATAAGAGGCCTTTCAAAGGCTGTTAAAAAATAGCAACAACAGTAGTACAATGAATAATGCTACGAATTGAGGGACTGTGTTGGCCAGTTGTATGTATTTTGTCCAATTCATTTAGTGTAATAATACCTTGTTGCTGCCTTTGTCAAGTTACCTGTTTCATAAACCATTGATTAATATAGTTGACATTTATATGGGTGAGTTCAATGCCATATCATTAAATATTAATTCATATATATGATATTCAAATAAATTTCACTGTGGCCCAGTAATTAGTGAATCATTAAAAGGTAGAGTGATTTATATAGCATAAATTGTTAATGGCAAACTAACCCAAACTTTAAAAAATCTTCACATTTAAAACTGTACATTTTGTTAAAGAAGTGTTAAATACACTCTTGGGCATAAATTGGGCCTTTATTAATGTATGTACCCATATATAGAAGCTTTTTGTTTACCTCACAGTTTCCTTTTCATCATCATGTAAACTAAAAACTCATGACTAATATGTGAATTTTATATTGTTTCTGATTGTCTTAGCATGAAAAAGCAATTTTTTTAATCCATCACTTCAAAATCAACTGAAGAATATTAGACCCAGTTACAACATCTTGTACTTGATACTGCATTTTAGAGTATTTTATTCATCCTATTTCATTGCCAAACATGCTCTTTAAAGTAATTTATCCATAAGTATATGGTTATAAAGTTGTTGTTTTTATTTTTTCTTTTCTCCCTTTATGTGGAATGTATTTCTTGTGAGGTAAGGTGAATAGTAACCAAAAGGGACATTTTTGCATCTCCCAGGCCAAATCCCTGCTTACCCTGAATCATCATCTTCTCTTTGCTTGCTATTGCAATTTCAATTATTCTGAGTTTGCTTTCTAACCTATTAACTGCCACAGGATTGATTTAATACTGCTTTTTAGCTCCAGGCAAACAATATAATGGCTAAGGCAACTATTTCTTACAATCTCAATTAATAATAAATTAATAGCTGTGTTGCTAAAGATTAATGAAGTTAACATTTTTGTATCTTTTAAGTAAATTTAAAAATATACCAATATGATATTGAAATAATGGCCCAAATCAATGAATGTCAGGAAATTACATGTTCATGCAGTTCTATTCTAGCTAGGTATTTCCACTTTCGAAGCCAAATTCTATTCTGATATACTTAAATAAGTATATGTAATTAATATTAAATGAAAGCATAAGTGTGTATCATGTCCTGCATATTTGTGAATGTTCTACACTTGGTGTACTAATTGTCATTGACAGTTATATTATCTCTTCACTGTGTATCTACACATTCCTTAGTAGATTTTTCTGAAAGGGTGACTTCACCTTTTCATATACTCAAGAAGTTTAGTAACAGAAGGAATGTTAAAAGCTCCCTTCCAAAAAAAATGAAGTTTCATATAAGACCCATATGCTTTAAGATTTCTCTAATTTCGTTGAAGATTTTATTCTGGTTTTATGTTGTCTCAAATTTTATGATTTTTACTTTTTCATTGTAAAGGCTTTTGTTTATGAAGCCTTTGTATTCTGATTTTAATGTATAAAAGAATACATAATGCCATTTTTTAGAGATCATGTGCTAAACATTTTAAAAATTTGCTCTAAGCCAATAATATGCCATTTTATTTAAATAGTAATATTTTTTGTAAAACCAAATTGTCTGACTTCAAGAATGTAATGAAGATGTTATTTAGCCAGAGCAAATTTTACAAATGAATTTTCAACCTCTGGAAAGCAGGGCTTAAATGGCAGAACTGACATGGTCACCATATGTGGTGTGAATGAACATGTAATACAATCTGTCAGTCAGCTGATGTCCAAAGACTGAATTCAACTTTCTGGATTACAAAAGGATAGTCCAGTTAAAGTTCCAGTATCCTTTTCACAACCAACAGTGAAATAAAGTCCAATAAACACAACTGGCAAAGTATTCAATTGTATGCAACGAACTACTCTTTAGTTCTAAATTTGCTGTGGCAAACCAAGAAAAGTGATACTGTATTTCAATGTCCTGTAAGCTCGCGTTCATCAGTGTGACTTTGATAACTTGCCATATGTTGGCCAGAACTCAGCAAAGGTGGTAGAAGGAGACAATAACCTGACTGCTTTGTTGTCTGGCTGTGGGTTTCTATGGATAACTCACTAAACTGATTTTACTCTCATTTTACAGCAGCCAAGAGTTTGTTGAAGAAACCAGATGGAGTAAAGGTAAGTTAAACAGATGCCCCTAATCCATTTCTGACTTTCAGATGCTGGATAATCTTTAAATGTTATATATAATTCCTAAGTCTTTGCAAGTTCTATTTTTTATTGTTTCTGATAAAGGTTGCAGGTTGAAATATGAAATGATTTAATATACAAAGATGACTAACATTTATATCAAGAAAAGCTGTATTTCTCCTGTTGGATTATATATGAAATAGTCATGAAAAAATAATGTTGTTATACAATATAGAGTTCCTATAGAAATAATTAAATGTCTTAATCTCTCTGATTTACTACAGTTCCAAACTACCATGGTGACCTAAAAGTCTGTAAAAACCAAATGCTTTTCCAAATAATTATGCTGCATACGTGAAGGCCACTGAAATATATAGCCTGAAAAATACTCACATTTGGGTATGGAAAATAGAATGTCAAATGTCTAAATTAATCTGCTTGGGCAGTTTTTATAAAGGTCTTAATTATTCCTTGTTTCTGTCATAAGGTGTTGAGATATATTCAAGATGAATGATCTGAACAAATATTAGAAAAATCTTGCAAGAAAAATAACAGCAGGATATTTTTACTTTCTGGCTTTCTAAACAAAATAATACAGTTTCTTTCCTACTGATTGTATTTTGTTTCAAGGGGATTTACTCTTGTTGGAATGTAATCTTATGGTACATAATGATGTTTGTTATCTTTTCAGAGTACCACCTAAATGTTTTATTTCTTTAATCCTTTTCTTTCTCTTCCAAGGACAGATGCATACATTCTTCATCAACACTTCAACGTTCTTGGGAATTAATTAATTTTCTAACATTTGAATTTGACCCAAAGTCAGGTGGTCAGTTCATATTGAAAACATAGAAAATCATTTGTCACTTTAAATGTTCATGCTCAGTCATTTCTTTACCACCTGTCTGTGTGCAACTTGGAAATTTCTGGAGCACTGATGACTGTGCATTTGTGATTTCCTTTAGGATGCCATTTCCATTTACCAATTGCTTTCCTCAGCCTGCAATTGTGTCTTCATTCTGATTAGTTTATTCCATTTAGATTTTAAGAATGATAGTTGATGACTGCCTTTTTCCCAATGTTACAATAGTAGAAATGTGGTATCTTACATTTTCCAAACATTTTCTTCTCCTGGGCTTTCCTGTACCGTTCAGTGATGGAGAGCTCACAGTTCCTATTGAGATATTTATTTTCATTACTATCCTTACATAGAACGCATTTCCAGAACTTTTTCCTTCCATTCAACTTATAGCTCCTCTTTAAAAACAAAATTATTCTATACTCCATGCTTTGATACTCTAAATTCAACCGGTCATATTTTTTTTTCTTTTCCTTTCTCTTTGACTGGTCAATTCAGAAAAGGAAGTCCAGTTCGAGTGTTCAGATGATGGTGAGGATCTATCTGCCAGATTTCTCCTCCTGTGAAAATTCACACTTAGGAATAAAAGTCTTATTTACCTAAGATAGTGTAAGTAAGTGGAGAGGGTGTAGGACCATTACAGGTCAGTGTTAGTCAACTATCAAAACACGGTACTTCTCTTACATATTACATTGTTTTTTCTCTGAAATTGAATTTGTTATACATGTAGATAGTATATTAAGAGGTTTGCTCTTTTACAAAGTCAATTTTCTCTTTGAAAATAAAAAGACCATGACAGAATGAATGTCTGTATAGTGATCAGTAAAAACAAACAAACAAAAAACTATATGTTTTTTTTAATGTTCTTTATGGTTGCTAAAATAGGAGTGATTTATAGGACACCATAATACATTCACCATGGAGTTTATAAAGGTGTGAAAGTGATCTTACAATGTACCAATCCTAGTTAAGTACCTTTAAAGGAAATGTTTATTAACCTTCAAACAATAAATTTAACACCTGAGAAATAGGAATATCTTGCCCATGCCTCATAAGAGTAATTCAGTGCATCATACAATTATCTGATTTGATTGATTCATGATTTTTTAAAAAAGAAAAACACCTTGCTTCTATTAACATAAAATAATTATATCACACAAAAGTGCCAGAGTTTTTGTATTTTTAAAAGACATCTATGGGCCAGGAGCGGTGTCTCACACCTGTAATCCCAGCAGTTTGAGAGGTTGAGACAGACGGATCACCTGAGATCAGGAGTTCGAGACCAGCCTGGCCAACACGGTAAAACCCCATCTCTACTAAAAAAAAAAACAAACAAACAAAAAACAGAAATTAGCCAAGTGTGGTGGCCGTACCTGTAATCCCAGCTACTGGGGAGGCTGAGGCGGGAGAATCACTTGAACCCAGAAGGCAGAGGTTTCAGTGAGCCGAGATCGCGCCATGGCACTCCAGCCTGGGCAACAAGAGCGAAACTCCATCTCAAAGAAAAAAAAAAAAGACATTTGTGGTTGAACCTATACTTATATTTGACTCTTTGAAAAGAACGTCTTCTTGCCTTTTGCTTAGAAATTATCCTATTATTTTTCAATAAATTAATATTATAAATAACTGCAAAAGATTTTCCATAGGAAAAAAATCATTTAGTTAGTCTTTACATTAACAAAAAAGCTTTAACTGCATATTAAACATGACCAAAAGTGTGGTTGAGGCACATATTCATTTAACTCATGTTTCCCATACCTAACAATAAAGAATGGCTCACCCAGACAGAATGGCCTTCATCTGGAAGAGATGATGGTGTGTGTATGCTGTGTATCTGTGTGTGAATGTGTGTAGGTGTGTGTGTGTGGGGGGGGGAACATGTGCACTTGTACAGATAAGTTTGTGTGCACAGGTGTGCAAGTGGGACATTTTCACTAAAATAAAGCAGTTCTTGGCAACCACATCCTAGAAAAAAGTCAAGTATCATATCCCAAAATAGAAATAAAAGTATCTCAGAATATTTCTTTCATTTGCATTCACTGATAAAAACTAAATATAGCATATTAAATACATGTGGTGCTTTAACCATAAGTGCCCCTGTTCATTTGACAGGAAGCCGGCTATGTTTTGCCTAGCATGTTTCCCGAATAGGAAATTATTCGTGTGTGCATCCCTCCCCTTTTCTCACGTACCCTGTACTAACATAAATACTGAATTTTGATCCCTCTTTAATAGACTTTTTACCTCTTATCTCTTTGGCTCTTGCACAAATATCATGTTAAATTCTGTGCACTTTGATTTAAAGGAAAAAAAAGGTTTTAACTATCTGCAGAATATAGATTGATGACAACATTTATAGAATTTTCCAGTAAAGGAAAGTTTAGAAGTTTTCTCATCCTTTTCTGTGGGTCAAGCAGCACAGTGTCACAACTTATTGTAAAAATAACGATACCAGTAATCAGACAAAAGGGAATGAAAAGAAAGGAAAAATATTACATATTTAAATTAATTTATGTTACTTTCTATCTTCCTCTCAATACTAGTTTTGACAGGATATATAGTTATCAGATATAGACTTCCAGAAAACCCGAACAATTAAACTGGTGTCACCACTTGAAATGCTCATTTGATACTCATTTATTTTATATAGTATATGTTTCTCTTTACATCATTATCTATATTTATATTAAAATCATGGAGGTATATTCCTTTAGAAAATAATAAATAAAATACCTAGATAATATAGTATAAGAAAATGAACGTTACCTTACATTTTTGTTTGAGAACCGTAATGTAAGTTGTCATGCATGAGTTTAAAAGAATGTTGATTGATTATTATTTTTCAGTCCTTGATTCTTAGTGCCCCGACTCAGTTGTAGTTTCTGATTGCCACTTGTCTACAAAGAGTCTTCTCTGTGGACCGTTAGAACACTTATTGACCCTCTGAGTTGCTTTTACCACGCAGCTTCCACAGTGGTAATGATATATTCTTTAAAGTCAAATCCAGTTATGTTAAAGCAAGGGAATGATATTACCAAATATATTCTGCAGTGATAGCAGTAGCACATTGACAGAAAATGTAGTATTTTCCTCTTACACAACTGTAAAAATTAAAGTCCTTTTACATTCAACATAAAAAGTTTGATTTCCCCACTAATAATTGAAGATGTAATTTTTAGAGGAGATCTACACTTGTCATTTTTAAAAGCTATTGTGACACCAGCGTTTTCTCAGAAGATCTAAATTTTCATTGGATAATTTAATTGCTCCTAAGCAAAGTAATGCTGGATCCCCAGAGAAAGATGTATGTGTGTGTGTGACTTCAGGCTCAAGAATAAAATGAGGGAAGAAAGAAATATATTTATAACTGTGAACAATTGGAAGCTTGGAAACAGAATCCAACTTGAACAGTATGAGAATGGTTATATTAATTTCATACTCTGAAACCTGATTGGAGCTCCACTGAAGCAGCTCTTTGTTTGCTAAGGTGGCATAGCAACAGCAGACACGTCTGTTTTCTCATTGCACCATCACGGACATGGTCCAGCCTGTGTGTGACCATCGGAGACTAGCGATCATCATTCCTGTCAGTCATCACCATGTCTTTCACGTTCATCTTCAGTGGCTCTTTATCTTCATGTCTACATCTCTATGTAGACATGCTGCATCTAGAGACATTGGCTACCAAGGGGTTTAAGGCATCTCTGTTTCTATTTTCTGCATACCCACAGATAAACAACAAAGCCAACGTGGTAACCAGCCCCAAAGAAAATATTCCTACCCCAGCGCTGGTATACCTGGACTCTTTGTAACCCTTCTTAAGTTCTTTACATTTTTTTTTTTTTGTGGTTTCTCTCATTTGCTTTCACTATATAGATACATATATATAAATATTTTATTTCGTTGGGTGTTGGGTTTTGTTTTTTTTTTTTTTTGCTTTCTATGATATGACCAAGTTCATTTCTTTTGGTTTTTTTTGGTTAAGTTAGTTGTCAAGCAGTGTGTTCTAACATGAGATTATCTCATTTCGTTGTTGAACATTGTACTGATAGCTGTGGTCTCTGTAGTTGGAATTACTGCATGCTGCATTCAAAATACAGCGCTTTGGTTGCTCTTAGCTCTTCTGATGATGATAGTTCTAGATTATGCAAACAATGGTTTCTTCTTTTCATGATGCAAATGCTTACATCAAGGAGAGCTAATGGGATTGTTGCTAGACAACATGAAAGTAGACCTTATTCAGAGTTCTCGTTTCCCTCTTATTAAAACACAACAGGGCTTTGTAAGACTTCACTTTCTGAGATAAAGAGGCACTGGATAATTTAGAGCTTTCTGTTTATTATGTTTTAAATTAAATTTTCACTGTTTCACTTTAATCCAAAGAATGAAACTGCAAAGAATAGAGGTTTGAATTATCAGTGGAAACCAGTTATGTCTATCTCAATCAAATCCACACAATTAACGACTAAATTAGTCTAACACTTTGAGATGGTATTATGTTAAAATTCAGAATTTGAATACTGTCATTCAGTGCTGAGTTCCATAACATTTTCCCTAAACTGTTTCATATTTTGATTTATGATTTTCAGAAATGTTTTTCAATTATTTGCTCTTCTCATACTGTTATTTTAAATAAATTTAAAAATGTTAAGGAATCATTTCACTTGAGTTAACCATGAGGCTCCATTTAAAAACATTTAAAAGGAGGACACATCAAAATAACAGGTTATCTACTAGTAAAAAACAATGTTGATCACAGCTGTAGCCAAGGGAAAGGGAGAATGGAAGCAGGAGATATGTCTCTCAATATTACAGCAGTGTAAACTGTAGTGGTGGGGGAGTGTCCATGATTGAGAACTCCCAGTGGGTTGCAGTACCTCCCCATTGCCAAGATATCACACAATGAAAGTGCCAAGCATGTCACTGATGTATGCATATTGAATCTTTTTTTACATCAGTTATTTGAATGTTATTCTCCACTTGGGAATATTTCTTTGCTTTCTGATAGAAAACAATAGAAAACCCATACTTTCTTCATAAAAAAGCATGACTTTATAGCCAGATATCCTGTATATATAGTCCATAAAGTAGAAGTTTTTTAGATATGAATTAATACAGGATTTAATAGCAGTATGCCTCAAATTATAGTGATTACATGATTAGTTCTAGATTAGTAGATTAGTTCTAGTTCATGATTAGTCCCTTAAACTTTTTAAATGTTCCTTAAAATTTTTTTATGGTCTTTTGAAATGGATTCTTTAGTATAGTCTTTTTTTAAGTGTTGTCCAATGGCTCTAGATTTTATAAGGGTATTCAGTTACGTATTAATTAATGACACCATAATCGAGTTTCAAACCAATATAACTGAAAAAATATCTTCTCTGAGAATTTGAAATCATCTCAGAGTTTTAGCTCCAGTGTCCTTGGCCAGTTCTCTATGGGACAGACGTTCACAGGCCACTCATTAAAGAAGAAAGGAAAGCATAGGATTAAGTGAAACAGTGAGTGCCTCTTCAGATCTCTAAATATCAAAGCCTTGTTTGAATGCTGATCAAGAATAAGGTCTTTTGCATGCTGCTTCTGGGTAGGGAGGTTCCTATCTCATGGCCTCGCCAGGGAGATCTTTCATCAGAGATATTGTCAGCTGCAACTCTGACAGCAGTTAACATCGCTTTAGCTCTTGTCACTATTTCATTTTGTCAGCTGGCTCACTCTGCTCTGTCCTTCACACTAGAAAGAATGTACTTACCAATGCGAACTGTTTCTTTCTCTATTTTGTTCTCACTCAGGAGCCCCAAACTACTGTAATCCACAACCCTGATGGAAACAAGGTATTCAGAAAGAATCAACATCATCTTGCTTTAACAAGACTATACATCTCATCAAATATTCAAAAAAATTAATTCGTTATCTAAAAATAGGAAAGAAAATTCTAACCATTTTCTACCACACTTCCTTTTGGGCCTAATTTATCTAGAACTATGGACATACTTCTTGCAAATAAAAATGAATGACATCTTGAAAGAGAAACTAATGTTACCATGAGTCAATAAAAGTCAGGCTAAACATGAATGAAGTCTTTATGTCAAGATGACTGTGTGTCTTAAGCAATTCCATCTGGTCATTTTTTTCCCCATGACTTTGTGCTTTGTACTGTAGATATATTGTGCATGATATTTTAGAATTTCTGGCAATATTCCATTGTCTTCAAAAATATCAACTTGACTTTATAGGTTTTTTTTTTTGTTTAGTGTTACTTTTGAGTTTTATTCTATTCTGTTGTCAGAGTGGTGTTTTTTTTTTTTTTGGTTTTTGGTTTCTTAATTCCTTGTTGGTGATGATGTTGTTATTGTTGTTATTGTTGTTGTTGTTGTTGTTGTTTGGCATGAATTTGAGGTGAATCAAGGAGTTTCACTTTTTGTGAAATATGTTTGTTGTTGAGTAATATATATTCCAGTAACAGGGGTTTAACTACTTAGGTTGAAAGAAGACTAAATGTTTCCTATACATTGTAAATTATTTGTATAGCATGTTAACTAAATAACAGCACTAGCATACATGTCTATAGGATGAAAGACCTTTTCTGAATGTATTCCATGTGTCCAATTTCTTACTTTTCATATATTATTATATCTCTAAGGGAAGAAAAAATACTAAACTTTTCTCAAATATTAGATATAGTCATGCATCTTCTCCATACTCTTATCAATGATGTTTAAGACTTAGAAAGCACATTTTATCTTAAGACTCAGAAAACACATTTCCTCTCTGGTTTAACATTTAATTGATCAATATTAAAACCATTAAAGTAAAAAACATGAAGTGTTATGTTCTTTAATATGAGATTTATTTTATAGTCATGACACTGCAAATGGTCTAGGTCCCGAAAAGCCTTGAGGTAGTCAGGACCATCACATATGAGAACAATTTTTTTAATAGCATTAGCCAATGAAACGCCAAGCATAACAGCTGGAATGGACACTTCAGTAGTTCTAGCTATATCATTTGTAAGAGTTGCTGCATGATATTTCTTGCTGACATGAATTAGTTTAATTTTACAGTGCATGGGTTTACCTTCATTTTCAGCTTACATTTGAATACTAGGTCACATTAAGAAATGCATGAAGATTCCTTTCTTTGGTTTTGTGTGTATGGAGACTCTGGGTACACCTTTAATTAGTTTTTCCCTTGGTTTAAATATTGTATATGATATTTATATAAATTGATCACTTTTTTGAATACTGAATCTCTAAAATGATACTGGCTGGTGTTTACATTATTTTCCAGAATCTGTTTTCCATTACTGAGCTATTGATTGGAAGTTTGTTTCCAGTTATTTTTGGCTCTAGCATTTAATCATTCCAAGTAGAAAACTATGTCTTTCTTATGAATATTGCAAAATTTATTTGCTAGAAAATATTTTACTCATACATTATTAATGAGCACATTTATCACACCATTTTAAGAAATGTATCTTAATTCTGGCAGTTACAGTGTACTTTTAAGTGTGCTTAACAATCTTCCACTTAATTTGTAGTTTTACAAAGAAAGAGCTTTGTCTTTTTATTATGGAGTAGGTTTCTTATCAATAACAGCCAGTTGCTATTTTTGAAAAGAATGAAAAAAGTCTAATTGTCCTTGAAAGTAAATTATTCATTATAATTCCATTGTGCTGAGGACAAACATGAAAATTCTTCTCAAAAGTACTTTCAGCATATCTCAGCTTAACCCCCTTAGCTTCTTCATTAAATGATGCGGTGAAATGCTTTCTCTCCCTATAAAGGTGTAAGGCATACAGGCCTTAACATAGTGCCTGACGCAAAGAAGGTACTCTTTATTGATTAATTAATTGGGAATAGAAATTTTTTCTATTTTAAGTATCAAATTCATTCGGCTAACATATTCAATTGCTTGTAGACACACAGAAAAAGCAAACCTTATAGGGCACTGTAACACAAAACACATCCTTACACAGTTTCTAAAATAAACTGCATACTTCCGCTGCTTCTACAAATCACCTGGATTTATACAGCTTCGGAGATTAGGCAACCAGAGTACTCCGTTTGAAATGTTTGCAGCATCAGACATTTTATTTCTGTTAAAAACCACTTAATGTGTTTGTCCATTTGCATGTCAGCATATGCACATAGCCTGCTGAAGAATTTTGCATGATATGTATGTCACTAGCCAATTTTTAAGGAGGAAATCAAGCTATTCATTGCGTGCAACCTAAAAATGTGTTTTCTTCTCATCAGGAGTCAACTGAGAGTTCAAATACAACAATTGAGGATGAAGATGTGAAAGGTATGATTTAACCAGAAATGGAAAATCCTACCTCAGAGCTTCACATATATATATGAAAAAAAAAGTGCTTCAAATAACTAATAAGTTTAGGAAGTAGGCCTATCCTAAAGCACAAAAATATTTTATTTATGAGTAAAAAATATTTTTATAAGTACATAATTATTTCAACAATATGTTACTTTTGTCATTTTTCCTACATATTCTTTTATATATTTTGAACTGTAGACATGTAGCATATTCTAGCACATTGCAGTAATGACAACTAATAATGAGTTACTAGTTATAGGAACATAACAAATTGTAAATTTGTCAGTCAAAAAGTAATATAAAATGTATACACATTGGGTACATTCATAAAACCTATCTGGAAAACAATTTATATTCAAGGATACAGTATAAAAATAACTTTTTAACTTTTAGTCATCTCAAATAATATCAGTAGAATTTTCTATTTGGCCGCCTTTTTATCCTAGCTTTTTGTGTACATTCCAAAGGTATTCTTGACCTCCATTCACTTTGGTTGCCAAGGTTCTTTTAGCTACATGTATGAGTCATTGGTAGTGTTTCTACAGACATCTTCTCAGTGCCCCTGCACACACATACTGAACACACATTTGCAGTTAGGTCACCTCCTTTGGCCACATCACTGTTTTAGAAGTATTACTTTTGTATCAATTGCATTTGCAGTTTTATGTTGTTTTTGTAATTCATTATATATAACTACAGTCTCTATAGACCAGTTGTCTAGAAGATATTCTGACAAACAGCGGTAACAGTAGGATATTTGAAACAGAAATATTAAAGGAAAAGAAATATAAATTGGGAGCAATGATCCATAAATTAATTAAACCTCATCTGAAAAGATTACTGACCTAATAGTATCACCATAAGCTTTAATTCTAAAGGTAGTGTTAATACAATAAAGTCTTGTAAAGTTGTATTCATATTTTAGAATAAAGGATTTGGAAATTCTCAGGTCAAGGAGACGTGGGGTCAATTTAGGAAATAAAAATGGCTGTAGATCACAACTTGGCAGTCAGCTCTGCTGACTTTTTCCTTTTTGTTTGAATAGAACAGCTGATGCTGTTAAAGTGTACTCTCTATTTATATAACTAAGCACACTGACCTAACTCTGCTAGAGGTAGTCAGTCATTTTTTACAGTGGAAAGGTAGATAGCTGTGTCAAGAATTTTATTTAGTAGGTCTATTCATCTCACTCTTTGCACTTAAGCTAAAATTTGAACTGAAGTAGTTTTATGAATCATTGATACCAGTCATATTAGATAAAAATATTCTTTTTTTTTAGCCAAATAAATAGATATGCCATTTAGCTTTCCCACTGATTCAGGAAGCATTATCTTTGTGTTTTGGATTCATTAGCTCTTTAAGCTAAGCTAAATGTTTCATATGAATTTTCACATTCTTCCCTTGAGCAAGACTAAGAAAACTTGTTCATTGTCCACTGGAGAAACTGAATCTTTAAATAACCAAATAAAATTAGGAGAATACCAGCACCTTACTATATGCAGTTCATCTGCCAAGGAACGTAATCATGAGAAGGGTTTTAATAAGTGGTCTTTCTCACCTGAATTTGGCACTCAACTGTACTAAGTATTGGTTCAGGATCATTGCTATTAATCTATGTAAACATTAATGTATAAACAGAGTTCCTGTCAGTGTTACCTTGTAGTTTGTAATTTATTTTTGATAAAATGAAATAATAATATCAGTTCTTAGAAAACAGTTCTCCAATTCAAATCATAACAATGATATGGGTTTCATCTTGCCTCTGGGATTTCATAAATTGAGATAGTATTTGTATTTATAATTACATTGAGTCTGTATACAAGTATTAGAGGAATTCAGCATCATATTGAGATCAAAAGAAATGTCCAGTTGATCGTTTAACCCAAAGTGCTTAGCTTTATTACCTTAATAAATACATTATTTAAGTTTCTGCTTAATTTTGCTGGTGTGGATCTGGCCAAAAATGTCATAACCATAGCCCATTAGGACTCATTTGTGTTCTCTGTAAGACCCAGACAGCCTTCTGGAGACTAACCCTTTTAATATTGAATGATATCAGAAACCTTTAAGACTAGAAGACACTTTGAAAGATTGCCTAGGCCCCATCATTTTTACTGGGACAAGTGGTAGATAAAATGGTCTTAAGTGATTTTAAATTATTTATTATGCTGATGATCTGTTTGTGTGGGAATCTCTCCATTTATCAGTGCATGGTCCTCAAGAAAGACCCTATATGTGAATAATTATGCTCTCTTATTTTTACTTTAGAATTGCTGTGGCTCTCAGTAGCTTGGTAGGGAATGTGTTTATTGTCCAGCTCTGTTGAAACCAAAATTTACCTATATCTAACATTCTATAACTAACATCCAAGAACTCACAATTACTATCAGTTAAATAATCTGACCAAAACTGTATCCCATCTACAAAACCATGTCATATCTACAAAACTGTGTCTTCCACACACATACTTTTCAACCTTCTCTTTTCTGTAGACAACATTGTGATCAGTGAGACACCACACTTTTTGACATATTCTTAAAGGCATACCCCCATACATACTTCTGCATGCGAGCACTTGCTCTACCCATTGCTGCTGGCTGTCCCAGCTATAGTGCATCTAACACCAGCACCTAGACTTACATTGTTTTATGGTGGTATATGATTCCTTGAATACCATGTCACATGCCTCCCATACCAAGGCAGTGCACATTCTGCCCCATCCCCAAGGACTAACCTGGCAGGGACAGCTTCTGTGTCCTCTCCAATGTAAAGAAACATGGAGTTGCTGGAGGAGGGGATTAAACACTGTGGTAACCCGGTCAAAGGAAGAAATGAGGTAAACTAACAACAAAGTTTTTCTTTCTGGCGTCTTTGAATGGGAAAAGGCAGACAAGGCCAGCTGTTCTCAAAGAAAGATAAAAGAAAGCAAAAGTAGTCAGAGATTAATGGTTCCTCAGTCTGGAGCACCTTAGAAAGCCAAGATTTAAAGGCCCATTTTCCTTCAGCTCTTCTAATTAGTTTCCATTGAGAAATCATGTCCCCAGTCTGTGTAATACTTTTGAATTGTGTCTAGGCTGTTTCTTCATTCAGCAAATATTTATTGAATCCCTTCTCTTTACCTGACTTCCATGTGCTTCTCTTTTTGAACTAGCCATGTTCAAGAGATTTGAATGCACCAGAGTCAAAATGCTGTTTCCTACCCTTTATATGAATCTTGTTATGCTATAATGTAGGCCCATTTATCTTACTTAATACAATAACTATCAAGAAAAATTAGTGAAACCCAACATATATGCATGTTTTACCTAAAAAAAAAAAAACTCAGTGAAACCCAGGAAAAAAGTGAGACCCAAAATAAATACATTTTTTTAAATCTAAAAGTTCTTTTATTTCCTTTTTCTTAAAAACCTTCAACATTTAGCTCTAACCACATTTTTCTTCCCAAGCTCGTAATCATCCCAAGGGACTGGCATTGTTTTACAACTCTTCTTTTTAAAAAGCTTCCAGAGTTCATTGTTTTCTTTCTCCAAGGCAATGTGTTGACACCCTAGTGTTGACCTCTTGAGCAGCTTTCTAATTTTGTTCAGTGTTTAAAACCAAATATTATCTCTGATGATGCTATGTCAGGAAACTCAGCAGCAAACTCAGTGTCATGGAGAGTTACTAATAGTTTAAAAGCAAATGGGAGTCTGGGAGTGGTGGCTCATACCTGTAATCCCAGCACTTTCGGAGGCTGAGGCAGGCAGATCCCTTGAGGTCAGGAGTCCAAGACTAGCCTGACCGACATGGTGAAACCCTGTCTCCACTAAAAATACAAAAATTAGCTGGGCACTGTGGTACGCGCCTGTAATCCCAGCAACTCGGGAGGCTGAGGCATGAGAATCACTTGAACCCGGTGGGTGGAGATTGCAGTGAGCCGAGATTGTGCCTCTGCACTCCAGCCTGGGTGACAGAGTGAGACTTTGCTTTAAAAAAAAAAAAAAAAAAAAGCAAATGGGAGTCCCAATAAAGCATAATTACCATCATGGAAGCACTGTGGTAACAACTGCCCATCCTATATAAGAAAAAAAGTTTTCTTCTTACAACTAACTGGTGTTTTCAAAATATACAATTCTTTAGGCCAAAAATTGTTGAAATAGTCATTTCCATTTTTAATCAATTTCCAGTAAAACAGCTACTTCCATTGATTTAAGGTGTTATCCAACAGCTGTCATCATTAGCTCTTAATTAGCAGTTAACAGTACAAACTGCACTCCTCGCCAGGGGTGTGGGTGTGCCTAGAGTCAGTGATGTGTAGCAGTAGTTCTTTCCACACTGTATACATGTGAAGACCGTCCTTTGGTTTGTGGCTGTAGCCACAGTTTGCAGGACCTGTCGCTGTATGCCGCAATGCCTCTCCGCCTCATAACCCATCCAGCACCATTGTTCAGAGTCACCCACTTCCTCCTGATGGGTACATGTCCATATGGTCCATCTGCTTATGTTTCCCAGCATTCTTGTGCAGCACCTGTTGAAGTTGGGCTCCTGTATGCCCTTGTGTCATTTCTGTCACCATCCTGTTTCCAGTATCTCACTTCAGCTCACCATTCACCACGAGCTTGGATCTCTTGCTGCATTTCATCCTTCTTACACATCTAGGAAAGTGGAGCCCTTTACAACAAGCAGATTCTATGGCTATGAGACTGTGTGTGGAGACTTCATCCTTCTTGAATTCCTTTTTACTTTTCCTGATTACTAGGTAGTAGTAATGAGGATGTTTGCAAAAGTCTCAATTAAGGACAAAGTTGTTGGCACCCTTATTACTTGAATGGTGATTCATGTTTGATGACCTGGATATCGTGGTCTCAGCTAATTTATAGAATCACTTGATTAATGAGCTCTCTGTGTGGGTCTTCTATAAATATGTACATTAGTGAATAGTATGATGACTGATTACCCAGATTCAACTATTCTTAAGTTCTGTTTGATCACTGAAAACCTTCTTTTCTGTGTGGGATTTCCTAAGGCAGATGATCTCATGGTACTGATCTTCTTGGTATCTACATGTAATTTATATTTCAGGACTTGTCTTGCATACATTTCTCACTTCCAGAAAAATCTGCAAATTAAGAAACTCTTGGGTATTTTATTGAGGGACTTTTGATAATTATGTCATTCCATTAGGTTAAAAATGTCTTAGAGGAAACTGTAGTGTAGTGTATAATAACTTCTTTCAGGTTTCTAATCCAAAATTTGATTTTACAACAAGTTTACTTAGAAAAATTACTGGGGGGAGGAGCCAAGATGGCCAAATAGGAACAACTCTGGTCTACAGCTCCCAGCTTGAGCGACGCAGAAGACGGGTGATTTCTGCATTTCCATCTGAGGTACCGGGTTCATCTCACTAGGGAGTGCCACACAGTGGGCGCAGGTCAGTGGGTGCGCGCACCGTGCGTGAGCCGAAGCAGGGCAAGGCATTGCCTCACTTGGGAAGCGCAAGGGGTCAGGGAGTTCCCTTTCTGAGTCAAAGAAAGGGGTTACAGACGGGACCTGGAAAATCGGGTCACTCCTACCGGAATACTGCGCTTTTCCGACGGGCTTAAAAAACGGCGCACCAGGAGATTATATCCCGCACCTGGCTCGGAGGGTCCTACGCCCACGGAGTCTCCCTGATTGCTAGCACAGCAGTCTGAGATCAAACTGCAAGGCGGCAGCGAGGCTGGGGGAGGGGCGCCCGCCATTGCCCAGGCTTCCTTAGGTAAACAAAGCAGCCGGGAAGCTCGAACTGGGTGGAGCCCACCACAGCTCAAGGAGGCCTGCCTGCCTCTGTAGGCTCCACCTCTGGGGGCAGGACACAGACAAACAAAAAGACAGCAGTAATCTCTGCAGACTTAAATGTCCCTGTCTGACAGCTTTGAAGAGAGCAGTGGTTCTCCCAGCACGCAGCTGGAGATCTGAGAACAGGCAGACTGCCTCCTCAAGTGGGTCCCTGACCCCTGACCCCCGAGCAGCCTAACTGGGAGGCACCCCCCAGCAGGGGCACACTGACACCTCACACGGCAGGGTACTCCAACAGACCTGCAGCTGAGGGTCCTCTCTGTTAGAAGGAAAACTAACAAACAGAAAGGACTTCCACACCAGAAGTCCATCTGTATATCACCATCATCAAAGACCAAAAGTAGATAAAACCACAAAGTTGGGGAAAAAACAGAAAAGAAAAACTGGAAACTCTAAAAAGCAGAGTGCCTCTCCTCCTCCAAAGGAACGCAGTTCCTCACCAGCAACGGAACAAAGCTGGATGGAGAATGACTTTGACGAGCTGAGAGAAGGCTTCAGATGATCAAATTACTCTGAGCTACGGGAGGACATTCAAACCAAAGGCAAAGAAGTTGAAAACTTTGAAAAAAATTTAGAAGAAGGTATAACTAGAATAACCAATACAGAGAAGTGCTTAAAGGAGCTGATGGAGCTGAAAACCAAGGCTCAAGAACTACGTGAAGAATGCAGAAGCCTCAGGAGCCGATGCGATCAACTGGAAGAAAGGGTGTCAGTGATGGAAGATGAAATGAATGAAATGAAGCAAGAAGGGAAGTTTAGAGAAAAAAGAATAAAAAGAAATGAGCAAAGCCTCCAAGAAATATGGGACTATGTGAAAAGACCAAATCTACGTCTGATTGGTGTACCTGAAAGTGATGGGGAGAATGGAACCAAGTTGGAAAACACTCTGCAGGATATTATCCAGGAGAACTTCCCCAATCTGGCAAGGCAGGCCAACGTTCAGATTCAGGAAATACAGAGAACACCACAAAGATACTCCTCGAGAAGAGCAACTCCAAGACACATAATTGTCAGATTCACCAAAGTTGAAATGAAGGAAAAAATGTTAAGGGCAGCCAGAGAGAAAGGTCGGGTCACCCTCAAAGGGAAGCCCATCAGACTAACAGCTGATCTCTCGGCAGAAACCCTACAAGCCAGAAGAGAGTAGGGGCCAATATTCAACATTCTTAAAGAAAAGAATTTTCAACCCAGAATTTCATATCCAGCCAAACTAAGCTTCATAAGTGAAGGAGAAATAAAATACTTTACAGACAAGCAAATGCTGAGAGATTTTGTCACCACCAGGCCTGCCTTACAAGAGTTCCTGAAGGAAGCACTAAACATGGAAAGGAACAACCGGTACCAGCCACTGCAAAATCATGCCTAAATGTAAAGACCATCGAGACTAGGAAGAAACTGCATCAACTAACGAGCAAAATAACCAGCTAACATCATAATGACAGGATCAAATTCACACATAACAATATTCACTTTAAATGTAAATGGACTAAATGCTCCAATTAAAAGACACAGACTGGCAAATTGGATAAAGAGTCAAGACCCATCAGTGTGCTGTATTCAGGAAACCCATCTCACGTGCAGAGACACACATAGGCTCAAAATAAAAGGATGGAGGAAGATCTACCAAGCAAATGGAAAACAAAAAAAGGCAGGGGTTGCAATCCTAGTCTCTGATAAAACAGACTTTAAACCAACAAAGATCAAAAGAGACAAAGAAGGCCATTACATAATGGTAAAGGGATCAATTCAACAAGAAGAGCTAACTATCCTAAATATATATGCACCCAATACAGGAGCACCCAGATTCATAAAGCAAGTCCTGAGTGACCTACAAAGAAACTTAGACTCCCACACATTAATAATGGGAGACTTTAACACCCCACTCTCAACATTAGACAGATCAACGAGACAGAAAGTCAACAAGGATAACCAGGAATTGAACTCAGCTCTGCACCAAGTGGACCTAATAGACATCTACAGAACTCTCCACCCCAAATCAACAGAATATACATTTTTTTCAGCACCACACCACACCTATTCCAAAATTGACCACATAGTTGGAAGTGAAGCTCTCCTCAGCAAATGTAAAAGAACAGAAATTATAACAAACTATCTCTCAGACCACAGTGCAATCAAACTCGATCTCAGGATTAAGAATCTCACTCAAAACCGCTCAACTACATGGAAACTGAACAACCTGCTCCTGAATGACTACTGGGTACATAGTGAAATGAAGGCAGAAATAAAGATGTTCTTTGAAACCAACGAGAACAAAGACACAACATACCAGAATCTCTGGGACACATTCAAAGCAGTGTGTAGAGGGAAATTTATAGCACTAAATGCCAAAAAGAGAAAGCAGGAAAGATCCAAAATTGACACCCTAACATCACAATTAAAAGAACTAGAAAAGCAAGAGCAAACACATTCAAAAGCTAGCAGAAGGCAAGAAATAACTAAAATCAGAGCAGAACTGAAGGAAATAGAGACACAAAAAACCCTTTAAAAAATTAATGAATCCAGGAGCTGGTTTTTTGAAAGGATCAACAAAATTGATAGACCGCTAGGAAGACTAATAAAGAAAAAAAGAGAGAAGAATCAAATAGACGCAATAAAAAATGATAAAGGGGATATCACCACCGATCCCACAGAAATAGAAACTACCATCAGAGAATACTACAAACAGCTCTACGCAAATAAACTAGAAAATCTAGAAGAAATGGATAAATTCCTGGACACATACACCCTCCCAAGACTAAACCAGGAAGAAGTTGAATCTCTGAATAGACCAATAACAGGCTCTGAAATTGTGGCAATAATCAATAGTTTACCAACCAAAAAGAGTCCAGGACCAGATGGATTCACAGCCGAATTCTACCAGAGGTACGAGGAGGAACTGGTACCATTCCTTCTGAAACTATTCCAATCAATAGAAAAAGAGGGAATCCTCCCTAACTCATTTTGAGGCCAACATCATTCTGATACCAAAGCCAGGCAGAGACACAACAAAAAAAGAGAATTTTAGACCAATATCCTTGATGAACATTGATGCAAAAATCCTCAATAAAATACTGGCAAAACGAATCCAGCAGCACGTCAAAAAGCTTATCCACCATGATCAAGTGGGCTTCATCCCTGGGATGCAAGGCTGGTTCAATATACGCAAATCAATAAATGTAATCCAGCATATACACAGAGCCAAAGACAAAAACCACATGATTATCTCAATAGATGCAGAAAAAGCCTTTGACAAAATTCAACAACCCTTCATGCTAAAAACTCTCAATAAATTAGGTATTGATGGGACGTATTTCAAAATAATAAGAGCTATCTATGACAAACCCACAGCCAATATCATACTGAATGGGCAAAAACTGGAAGCATTCCCTTTGAAACCTGGCACAAGACAGGGATGCCCTCTCTCACCACTCCTATTCAACATAGTGTTGGAAGTTCTGGCCAGGGCAATCAGGCAGGAGAAGGAAATAAAGGGTATTCAATTAGGAAAAGAGGAAGTCAAATTGTCCCTGTTTGCAGACGACATGATTGTATATCTAGAAAACCCCATTGTCTCAGCCCAAAATCTCCTTAAGCTGATAAGCAACTTCAGCAAAGTCTCAGGATACAAAATCAATGTACAAAAATCACAAGCATTCTTATACACCAACAACAGACAAACAGAGAGCCAAATCCTGAGTGAACTCCCATTCACAATTGCTTCAAAGAGAATAAAATACCTAGGAATCCAACTTACAAGGGATGTGAAGGACCTCTTCAAGGAGAACTACAAACCACTGCTCAAGGAAATAAAAGAGGATACAAACAAATGGAAGAACATTCCATGCTCATGGGTAGGAAGAATCAATATCGTGAAAATGACCATACTGCCCAAGGTAATTTACAGATTCAATGCCATCCTCATGAAGCTACCAATGCCTTTCTTCACAGAATTGGAAAAAACTACTTTAAAGTTCATATGAACCAAAACAGAGCCCGCATCGCCAAGTCAGTCCTAAGCCAAGAGAACAAAGCTGGAGGCATCACACTACCTGACTTCAAACTATACTACAAGGCTACAGTAACCAAAACAGCGTGGTACTGGTACCAAAACAGAGATATAGATCAATGGAACAGAACAGAGCCCTCAGAAATAACGCCGCATATCTACAACTATCTGATCTTTGACAAACCTGAGAAAAACAAGCAATGGGGAAAGGATTCCCTATTGAATAAATGGTGCTGGGAAAACTGGCTAGCCATATGTAGAAAGCTGAAACTGGATCCCTTCCTTACACCTTGTACAAAAATCAATTCAAGATGGATTAAAGACTTAAACGTTAGACCTAAAACCATAAAACCCCTAGAAGAAAACCTAGGCATTACCATTCACGACATAAGCATGGGCAAGGACTTCATGTCTAAAACACCAAAAGCAATGGCAACAAAAGCCAAAATTGACAAATGGGATCTAATTAAACTAAAGAGCTTCTGCACAGCAAAAGAAACTACCATCAGAGTGAACAGGCAACCTACAAAATGGGAGAAAATTTTCGCAACCTTCTCATCTGACAAAGGGCTAATATCCAGAATCTACAATGAACTCAAACACATTTACAAGAAAAAAACAAACAACCCCATCAAAAAGTGGGCAAAGGATATGAACAGACACTTCTCAAAAGAAGACATTTATGCAGCCAAAAAACACATGAAAAAATGCTCATCATCACTGGCCATCAGAGAAATGCAAATCAAAACCACAATGAGATACCATCTCACACCAGTTAGAATGGCAATCATTAAAAAGTCAGGAAACAACAGGTGCTGGAGAGGATGTGGAGAAATAGGAACACTTTTACACTGTTGGTGGGACTGTAAACTAGTTCAACCATTGTGGAAGTCAGTGTGGCGATTCCTCAGGGATCTAGAACTGGAAATACCATTTGACCCAGCCATCCCATTACTGGGTGTATACCCAAAGGACTATAAATCATGCTGCTATAAAGACACATGCACACGTATGTTTATTGCGGCATTATTCACAATAGCAAAGACTTGGAACCAACCCAAATGTCCAACAATGATAGACTGGATTAAGAAAATGTGGCACATATACACCATGGAATTCTTTGCAGCCATAAAAAAATGATGAGTTCATGTCCTTTGTAGGGACATGGATGAAATTGGAAATCATCATTCTCAGTAAACTATCGCAAGAACAAAAAAACCAAACACCGCATATTCTCACTCATAGGTGGGAATTGAACTATGAGATCACATAGACACAGGAAGGGGACTATCACACTCTGGGGACTGTTGTGGGGTGGGGGGAGGGGGGAGGGATAGCATCGGGAGATATACCTAATGCTAGATGACGAGTTAGTGGGTGCAGCGCACCAGCATGGCACATGTATACATATGTAACTAACCTGCACGATGTGCACATGTACCCTAAAACTTAAAGTATAATAAAAAAAAAAGAAAAATTACTGTCCGCATATACTACCTGCTGATTTTTTAAGTGTTGTATCAGAATTAGTAACTTATATGACTGATGCAGAATTTATTCTATTCCACCACTAATGTAACACAGTTTCATTTTCTCTATTTTTATATATTTCTTCTATTTTACCTCTATACTCAATTTTTCTCTTTATTGCTTGAGTCCTGCCAAGTTATCCTAAGTTTTCAGTGATAACCTCAAGCTTGTTTAGCTCTGCTAACAAAATACAGGGTCAAACTGTTGCCAACCCCATTTTAAAACAAGGTCCAAAATCAAGACAAATGGAACCAACAAACAAAAACATGTAACTTCTCATTTTAACATTAGGAAAACATCAGCTCACTCTATAGTAATAAAGTTTTTCTGCTCAAAATTTCTATAAATAGCTTTTCTTGTGAGTTTGTGAAACCCTGTAATGAGTTTTAGAACTATCCACAGCAAAAATAATGTAGCATTGTTTTATAAAAAACTACATAAACTCTAAAGGCATATATATGTTGTAAGATTTCTTCCATCAGATTCTAAACTTTGATTGAGCTATCAATCAGTTTTTAAACTGTGAATTCACTTTAAGAATTAACTTTAAGAATTCAGAGTTTAAAAACCTGACATTTACCCACTTATACCTACTGTTCCATTATCGAAACGCTAAGCATGTGAGAGTTATTTATATCCTACTGCTCAAGGTCATCGCTAAGGTCTGATTTTCCACTCACGCAAAAATTCAAAAAATTGCAACCTCCAGCATAAATGGGTTAACTATTCATAGATATTACTTTATGTGGGAGTTAAAAATACAAGAGGTAATCAGACTCACACTTTGTGTAATCAAAAATTTCATAGTTATCCAAATATAATTTACTTTATAATATAGTTACATAAATGTTGATTATAAAACTTTCTCATTTTTGTTCATGTATCTATTTTTTTCCCATTACCTAACAAAAATTGTCCAATTTAATAAGCTACTAAATCTAAGGTTTGTGTAAATTTTAAAATATTATTCCTTCTATCTTCTTTATTTTTTCAGATTATGGCTTTATCACTTTTTTTAAGTGATGTAAAATATAAAATGTCAGCAAGGATCTGATTTGAATCTGAAATCTATATTTGAGCAAGTTACATAATTTACCTGTGGCTCAGGTTTCCTCATAACAGCAGAATGTAGATATTGAAATCAATAATACAGACTTTTAAGCTCTTTTTCTACTCTACTGTGATGCAATACTATTAATAGATTATTGTAAGATCTCTTTATATAAAATGATACATTCTAATACATATTATTATAAAACAATTAGATGTTAATAATATAAACTATTCAAGCAGTCACAGAAAGACATTTAACTCAAAGTTTAAAGAAACAATACACTGCTACAGTTTTAGGAAATCTTATTAAAACTGGGAAAAAATGGTGTTCACCAACCTGAATATCCAAAATGTTATCAATAGCACTATAGGACTATAAAGTTACTACTTTAAACACATTCCAGTGAGAATTATTATGAGGTCAAATTTTATGTTTCTAAAGTTTCCATACAAAATTTCTTTAATATCTAAAATTAAATTAATATTTGAGCTCATTCATTTCTATATAGAAGTTAAATCCTAATTATTTGCTATGTTTTTCTTAACTATGAATTTTATGTAATTCTGAAATTATTTATTAGAGTAAAATAATTGCTTGAGTGAAATAATGTCTCCTTTGCTGAGTTTGTATTATTTTATACCAATAAATATATCTATAAATTATGTAAAGTTATATGTCTATATCATGATTCTTTTTGTGAGTAAGTGGAGTGGCCCTAATTTTATTTTCTGCTATGGATTTCTGCTATAACCCCCTTGATTTGGTCAGGAGGAATTAGGTCTAAAGTATTTAAGAAATTAATCTCAATCCTGTGCAATTTTAATATCCCACCAGGTTACAGGTGATTTTATCTCAAGCTAATATGATAGATGATAAAGTAAGGAAAAGCAAGATATTAGCAAGTGAAAGCAGAGAAGACATTATTCAGTGAGGAGCTTAATGAAAGAGCTTGTGTAGAAATAAAGAATTTTTATTTTTCACATCCGAAACAGTGGTATTTTCACTTTTCAATTTAGTGCAACAAATATTTTATGAACACCTGTAATGTATAGTCTTCTAACTAGACTCTAGAAGATTTAGAAAAGAAAGATGATTCTACAAGATAATGTTGCAGGCAAAGACACAAATGATTGAGAGAGTTTCAAACGGACTGGGCTAATTCTGAGTGGATTATAGGGACTGTATTCTAGTATAAATCAATAGAGAGTGAATCGTGATCAATAGCACTTAACTAAACTACAATAGTTGTGTTCAGTCCAGGGAGGGAAACTCAACAAGGCAGCTTTCCTAAACATTTCCAAGCTTTGTTGTTATATTAAAAAATAATTTAACAGCATTGGCTATCATGTAAGTATAGCATCAGGAAGCAGAGATTGGGTATAAGAAAAACATAAACATGCCAAGGATTCAGGCTTAATATTCTTGTACTTGGAGGTATTTTTGGCCATAAAGTAAAAATGCAATCAATGTATTGGATAGATGTAATGGCACACATTTTCTGTCTGTGTCTTTGCTGTGAGTTTTCCTTTCCAAAGTTCTGCAATATATTAAAACTGAAATATTGAGTTTTCTTAATAGTTCTGAGGTAAGAAAAGATTATAATCACCCAAGCCCAGTGGCTCATACCCGTAATCCCAACATTTTGGGATGCTGAGGCCAGAGGATCTTTTGAGGCCAGGAGTTTGAGACCAGCCTCGGCAATATAACAAGACCCCATCTCTACAAAAAAAGAATTTATAAAAATTAGGCATGGTGGCACACACCTGTAGTCCCACCTACTCGAGAGGCTGAGGCAAGAGGAGGCCAGGAGTTCAATACCACAGCGAGCTATGACTGCACTACTGCACTCACTCCAGCCTGGATGACAGAGCTAGACTCTGTCTCTTAAAAAAAAAAAAATCAAAGGAGGAACTACTTAATCTCTTTTTTGTGACTTTCTTCTGAAAATTGAGTTTATAGAAAGCTGGTCTAATCTGAGAGAGTTCATTCACTCTTCATATCTCTTCACCAATGGTCATTCTGAAAGGACTCCTCAAAGATAAAACTCCTGAACTTAGCTTTAAAGGGGAAGGTACTATTAACCAGGTGAAGAAGGTGCGAGAGGAGAAACATTACCAATAGAAGGCACAGAAACAAAGCATGGTATGTCTGAGGTATTGCAGGCAGTCAGGATATTACTGAAGAATGAAATGCAAGTTGGAGAGTGGTAGCAGATCAAGCTTGAGAGGAGGGAAGGTGCTAGTTATGGGAGCATTGAGCCATATGAAGGAGCTTGAGCTGATCTAATATTAAGAGATGAGAGGCATACATCATAGACAAGGATGATTCTGCAAGATAATGTACCAAGCACCTGAGGAATATCAGAAAGTTTTAAGCAGAGGAAAGATGTGGTAAGATGTCCATAGGTAGAACACTCTGGTGATTCTGTGGCATATGTATTTGAAGGCTATAAGACCAAAGATGGTTAGACCAGTTTTAAGACTATGTCTAAAGGGAGATACATGGTCAAGGGAGGGTTGAGTTTTGTTTTGTTTATGTTTTAGGATGAATGAGTCTAGATCAAGTTTGTAGGCTAATGATAAAGGACAAGTAGGCATGAAGAAATTTGCTGATCATTTTTACATTTATTTAGTAAGTTACTCTTTCAGCAAATATTTAGTGAGGGACTATTGAGTGCCAAGCCCTGTTAAAAGCGCTGGATATTCAGAGGCAACAACATAGATAGGATTTCAACTTTCATGAAAGTTAGATTTTAGTGGGCAGAAATAGCTAATAAACAAGGCTCATAGTTTCTACCAAAGACTTACCCTTGGGATAAAAATGATCACAGAGTAGCTAAAGACTTTACCTTACATTATCCTGATTAAAAACTCCATTTGTTAAGTAGGTCTTATTAACCCAGTCTTTCAAAAGAACAATCTGAAGCTTAGAGAGGTTAAATCATATAACCACTAAGTGCTTTAACAGGAGCTGGGATCATGCTTTGAACCACTGCACTGAACCACGTGGGGATTTATGGAATCCCTCAGCCCTCACATTACTCCAATATTATATCGTATGCATTTAATAATATGTAAAAGTATTCCAGAAAGGTTAGTGGCAAAGACACTTGCCAGGGAGGTTTTCTATCAAACATGAAGACTTCCAAGTTAGGTAGCACAGTCTAATCTTACATCTGCAGGAATCATCTTTTGCTCCTGGGATCAGGTATGAGGTCCTAAATAATGAGGAAAGATGAAACATAATTCAGGATAATAGCTTATCTTTTGTAAAGAGCCCCCAAAGAACCTTAAAACCATTTCTGCTTATAAAGTTTAGCTCTAAGGCTATAAAGGAATGTGTTGACTTGATTGATAACAGCATGTTATTTGTCAGTTTTTGTGAAGTTAATTCTACTGAATAGAACCAATTGGTGTCTTGCATCTATATATAAAATGCTGTACCATTGTATTTGTAAAACATTTTACCACTATGTTTTAGGGCTTTTTTAAAAAATCTCATTTAATCTGTACAGCAAGCTTGTAAAATCAAGAAATACAATAAAGAAGGGACTCAGGACATTGCAACTATGTTTGCAATGTCCTGAGATCTGGAATCATATAAGCAGAGATCTGGAATCATACTAGCCCTAATGGCCTCCTTTCAGAGAAGATCAAGCACTTTGACAGGAATTAGGGATCTAGACTCATTCTTAGAGAGAGATAGAGACATTTTAAAGCTATTCCTGGACTAGTCATCTATAAGAGAAGTGGAAAAAGGACTATAAATTGCTCTTTAGGAATTAGACATTGGGTTACTAAATTCCATGGCTGGGTAGAAGGGATGAGGCTTGTGAATATCACAATGGAACCAGGACCCAGGATGGGAGTGGGTAAGAAAGGGAAGTTTGGATAGAATGGGTATATAGGGAAAGGTCTTAGCTTGTTGTGTAAAATGTGTAATTTTCAACAAGTCTGTAATTAAATTCTTTGTTTCAGAATGCCCCACAGATTTCATGAGTCTCTCGGTATCTTCCCTACCTAACACAAAATTCAGATTCTTAGTAAAATATCCATAAAGTGACTCTGTTTACTTGACTTAACCAATTATTGCTTATATGGAAACAGACATTCTCATAGATGCACCCCTTTTTCATTTAAATAAAAATTGGGCATTTTCTTTACACCTTCCACATTAGTTCCCTTATGTATTTCTGCTTCTGATTTTGACCTTTTACTGTTTTCTCATTTTTTTATTTTTTAGAGACAGGGTCTCTCTCTGTCATCCAGGCTGGAGTGCAGTGGCTAAAACAAGAAATAATATGTGCATTAAAAAAATAAATACGGCCAGGCACGGTGGCTCACACCTATAATCCCAGCACTTTGGGAGGCTGAGGCGGGTGGATCACCTGGGGTCCGGAGTTTGAGACCAACCTGGCCAATGTGGTGAAAACCCATCTCTACTCAAAACACGAAAATTAGCCGGGTGTGGTGGTGCATGCTTGTAATCCCAGCTACTCAGGAGGCTGAGGCAAGAGAATCGCTTGAACCCGGGAGGCGGAGGTTGAAGTGAGCCGAGATTGTGCCACTGCACTCCAGCCTGCGCGACAAAAGCAAAACTCTGTCTCAAAAAAAAAAAAAGAAGCATAAGGATATAGCTGCTATCATATGTGAACAAACACAGAATGCTTCAGATGAATGTAACACATGATGTAATGCCTAACAAAGAGACCTCTATTTGAAATACTTGGATTCATTCATTTAAAAACAAGAAAAAAAGATTGAGCACCTTCTGTGTGCTGAATATAGTAAAATAGACTGAGGCTGAAAAGGCTTAGCTTTTTCCTAAGGGAGTTTTTAGTTTTATAGTATCCTCTTCAATGAAATTATATCTGCTAGTGCATTTCCCATTCCAGTGAATAGCTATTTTTTGCATTAAAATTTTATTACATGTTAAAGTTTCTTCCAGAGTACATGAGTGGATAAACTATCTTGCCTTTGAAACTCAGTGAATTAGGTAGTCTGTCTTTATTTCTTTTAAAATGGAATAGCGTAACATTTTTCCCTTGGCCAACGTTGTTGAGCAGAGTTTGCCAATCCATTATATGAAAGTGAGCAACATGTTTAGTACAAAAAGACTGATTTAAGTATTGGCATTGCTATGATTTATTTTACTGTGGTGAAACTAACTTCTCTGCCAAAGCTATATTATCCCACTGATTACATATATGTGACTACTTCAGTATCCAAAGGAAATTCTTTGCAATATGCAAATACCTTTGGATGTTTGATTTCGTCTCTTTAGATTAGAACAAAATTTAAAATCTGTGATGAGTTCTGAACATTTCCAAACTACTCAATTGTGTTTTCTTTAAAAACAAATATAAAACCTCTCTATACAACTATTTTATTTAATATAAGTTATAGATTAAGTTATATTTTTAAATGTCACCTCCAAAGAACATTTCTCTTTCATTTCTCCTCACTTCCATAGTACTATCAGTGCAGTCTGCACTACTGCATTACTCATTGCAATACTCCTGTATAGTATGTCTCAACCATTTTTAATATGTTTGTGTTCAAATGCATCTAAGAAAACTGAATTGATATGACTATGTTATATTCTAGTGCTTTTAACACACCTTCATCATCATCCTTAGTCTTTCTTTGTCTCCTCAGTTTCTTTTAATTTCTTTGTCTCCTTAGTTTTGCTTATACCCCACATGCGGTCTCAGAAAATCCTACTAGTTCTTCAAAATGCACACTTTTTTTTGGAATTGACTGCTGCTCACCAACTCCATTGCCATCACTCTAACTTAAGATATAATCATCTTTTGCTGATATTATTGACATAGCTTCTTAGCCATTGACCTGCTTCTGCTTACAGTCTATTCTCAACAGAGAATAGAGTTACACTTTCAAAAATACATTAGATCATGTGCTGCTCTTGCTCTGTATTCTCCAGTGGCTGCCAAAGACATCAGAATCTATTAAAAGGCCTACCATGACCAGGGCTCCTTCAGACATGCCTTGCCTTGCCATCTGACTTAATGTCCTATTATTATATGTGCATCAGGAACACTGTTTCTGAAATGTATCAAGCAGGTTCCTGCCACAGGGCCTTGCACTTACTATTCCATGTCTGGTATGTCCTGATACACATTTCCATGTGGCTTACTGCCCTTTCTCTTTTTAAGTCTCTGACCAAATGTTATCAAAAGTTACCCTCTCTGTGAGATCTTTTACTACCTTATTTTAAATTACATCCCTCCAGACTGGGCATGGTGGTTCATGCCTGTAATCCCAGCACTTTGGGAGGCAGGCAGATCACTTGAGGCCAGGAGTTTTTGAGACCAGCCTGGCCAACATGACAAAACCCCATCTCTACTAAAAATACAACAAAATTAGCCAGGTGTGGTGGTGCATGCCTGTAATCTCAGCTACTTGGGAGGCTGAGGCACAAGAATCACTGGAACTTGGGAGGCAGAGGTTGCAGTGAACTGAGATGGCACCACTGCACTCCAGCCTGGGCAGCAGAGTGAGACTCTGTCTCAAAAAATAAAATAAAATGAAAATTTACATCCCTCCAAATCCAGCACTCCCCATTCTCCTGTTTTACTTTTCTCTTTATATTTATTATCTGAAATATCTATTTTACTTGTTTCCTGTTCCTCTTCCCCCTACTAAAATGTAAGTTTCTGTAGAGCAGAGATTTTTGTCTGTTTTGTTTATAGCCATATTCATAGTATCTAGAATAGTGTTGGGCAATAGTGGGAATAATAAATATTTAATTGGTAGAGGAAGGAAGCATAGTGGATACCAACCATGACATGTCCTAGCAGCCACTAAAATGATCGGAATTCTCCTGAAATTGTGATCAGTTTACAACTTTTTCTGTGTAGGTTTTTGTACATATAATTACCTCGCTCCATAATTTAGGAGTTAAAAACACCGAAAATGCATGTTTTAAAAGTGTCTTAGTCCATTTGTGATGCTATAACAAAATATCACAGACTGGGTAATTTATAAATAGTAGAAATTTATTTTTCACAGTTTTGGAGGCTGGAAAGTCTAAGATCAAGGTGCCAGCAGACTTGATGTCTGGTGAACGCTTGCTCTCTGCTTTAAAAATGGCACCTCTTGCTGTGTCTTCACATGGCAGAAGGAATGGAAGGGACTAGCCAATCCCTCAAGCCCTTTTTTTGTTTTTGAAGAGGAGTCTCACCCTGTCACCCAGGTTGGAGTGCAGTGGCACAATCTCAGCTCACTGCAACCTCCGCCTGCTAGGTTCAAGCAATTATCCTGCCTCAGACTCCCGAGTAGCTGGGATTACAGGCACCCGCCACCGTGCAGAGCTAATTTTTGTATTTTTAGTAGAGACAAGGTTTCACCATGTTTGCCAAGCTAGTTTCGAACTCCTGACCTCAAGTGATCCGCCCACCTTGGTCTCCCAAAGTGCTGGGATTACAGATGTGAGCCACTGCACCCGGCCCTCAAGCCCTTTTATAAGGGCACTAGTCCCCTTCTAATAACCACTCAAGGGCCCCACCTGTTAATACCATCAATGTTTGGTATTAAGGTGCAACATGGACTTTGTAGGGACGCATACATTCATATCATAGCATTAAGTCATAGGATGTTTTTTCCTATTGGAATGGAGGACGCGCTTTGGTGTCAAATATACTAGATTTGAATCCCAGCCCAGCTCTCCATTGAATATGCATTCTGACTGCTCATGTAAACCATTCTGAGTCATATGTACAATAGGGATAATAATATGTCAATGCTGGCCGGGTGCGGTAGTTCACGCCTGTAATTCTAGCACTTTGGGAGGCCGAGGCGGGCGGATTACCTGAACTCAGGAGTTCGAGACAAGCCTGGGCAACACAGTGAAACCCTGTCTCTACTAAAATACAAAAGAAATTAGCCGGTGTGGCGGCATGCACCTGTAGTCCCAGCTACTCAGGAGGCTGAGGCAGGAGAATTGCTGGAACCCGGGAGGCAGAGGTTGCAGTGAGCCAAGATCCCGCCACTGCACCCCAACCTGGGCGACAGAGTTAGACTCCATCTCTAAAACAAAAATAATAATAATATGTCAATACCTAACCATTTTTTACCTACAAAAGTAATTTCATATGGCTCAACCTGAAAATAATAATAACAATAAGAGAGCATACTCATGTTGAATAGTGATACAATCTATTAAATGCCTAGTATAATTCCTGGCCCATGATTTAAAACAGTCCATAAATCCAGAGAGAACTGTGTGTGTGTTTTTAAACATCGTTTCTATTTTCTGAAACATTTATTTTAGATAAGTAGGTATAAATGTTAAGACCCACATCCAGCCAACCTATGTGCATAAATACCCAAACTACATAAAGCTGCCCAAGTGCAGAAAACAAGTTCATTTTTGCTTTAAAATCGAAACTGATGGTTTTTTTAAAGTGTTTGTGAAGATGACGGTGTTCTTTTAACTCATTATGAATTTTAAACAATTAAAGTATTTTAGTTCACTACTTTTGGCCTCCATAGTACCATATAATAGGCACTTAATAGATTAATGAATTAATTATGAGGTTTCTACATTAATTCTGAGTTGAGACATATTTTGTACTTATTAAACATGTTTTAAGTAATAACTCAAAGTCATCCCTCATTTGAAGTAGTCCTTTTATCTCTGGATATGTTCAACTGTTTTGAAAAATTGGCTCAATTTTGCCTGTGTCTTGATTATCACTGCTGAGAGGAAAAGAAAAATATGTAGACTGATTGTTTTCCACAAAAGTAAAATGTGAATTTAAAAAGGAGCATATCTATGCAAAATTACTTAAACACTTCTCAAGCAAAATATCTCAAGAACGATAACATATAATGTCCCTTTTAGAAATTGTGATTACCCGGTTCAGTGTTTCCTCAAAAGAAACTAACTATCTTGATAGAAGTTAACAGATTAAATGTGAAAGACCTATGATTTGTTTTTGAATTGACTGTGTACAGGATCATTGGTTTCTTTATTAACATCACTGCATGTGGTTATTTACAGCATGTCTGTCTGGCAAAACACAGATGGTAAATGTTATGGAGAGAATTTGGATTTCAGGAAAAGTTGGGATAATAGACAAAAACTTATACCATTATGTGTTTTCAAATTTAAAAAGAAAGAAAAAAAAATCCTGCTCCAAATGTCATTTTTTTTACAATTGTACAATTTGAATTAGGAAATGTTTTCCACTGGAGAAAATAATGTTTTGGGGCCGTGAGTATTTTAAGTAGAGTATTTTTACTCCATGCCTAGGCCACTTCACACAGAATTATAGCATTCTGATTAAACATTGTACCACATTACACAAAGTTAAGCTACACAAAAATGTAAACATATTACTAAACAGTAAAGAAATACCTCTGGAAAGGTTAATGGTCCGTAATGACAGAAAAAATAACTTACTTCCAAAAGAGTGTTGTGATTTTTTAAGTGGTATTTTGACCAATGTAGGAAGAGTGTGAGCATATGAGATTGTATATTTAAGTCTCTCTTCAAGAAATAGAAGCTCTTCACTCATAATCTTTATAAGAAGAGAGAAGCCTAAGAAGGAACTTAGGGCTATTTAAATATATGAAGAGTTAATAAACATGAAATGTGTTTACCTGTCACTGAGAATAAAACTAACAAAAACACATTTGTTTGAGATGTGTGTAAACATCTGTACCTGAGTTGGTATTCTTTAAATCTGTACTACAATTTTGTAACAGGAGCAGTGTTGTAAGTTATTGAGGAATTTCATCATCTGGGTTAGTTAAATTAACCTCACTTCGGTAAGTGCTGTGTGGTTGTAATCTGACTATGCAAGTGCCAGCGATAACCTTTGTAGTCATTCTCAGTAGTCATCCTCTCTGAAACCTCCAAGTCAATATTTTCATGTTATCTCCAGTTTTTTTTTAATGTAAAATTCTTACTATTGTCTTAATCTCAGTTCATATAATATAAATGCAGATTTCCTAAGTGTGGAATATTAATTACTTATTAAGTAACTTGAATGGTGTCTTTGAAGACTGTTCATCTTTTGAAGGAGTCATACTCACAAATATGTATCTACTATACATTAAATTTTGAAATAAATTCATAATTTATGGTAATTTACATTTATAATACATGTTGGAATAAATGAGAATACATAATATGTTGTTGGTTCTGAAATATATGGCTCATAAATTTAATTTTTACTGCAGTTGCATTGGTTAAACTAAGAACACCTTTACTGGACCTGTAAAACTGGGCCCCAATATTCTTTTTTTTTTTTTTTTGAGACAGAGTCTCACTCTGTTGCCCAGGCTGGAGTGCAGTGGCACAATCTCGGCTCACTTCAACCTCCACCACCCACGTTCAAGCAATTCTCCTGCCTCAGCCTCCCGAGTAGCTGGGACTACAGGCACCCACCACCACACCTGGCTAATTTTTGTATTTTTAGTAGAGATAGGGCTTTACCATGGTGGCCAGGCTGGTCTCGAACTCCTGACCTCAAGTGATCCATTCACCTCAGCCTCCCAAAGTGCTGGGATTACAGGCATGGGCCACTGCACCTGGCCAACTGGGCCCCAATATTTCAACAAGAATTTTTAAATTAATTATCTAAGCTGAATTTAGAGGCAAATATCCCAGAGCTAAACTGATTATACAGTACCAATGTGAGGTATCCTTTATTAAAAAGCATGTGTTACTGTGAATCATTTAGTAATTTCTGGTATGATAGGATATTTTTAACTTCCCAAAGTAAGCTTTAACCAATGTAGTAACTAAGCACGGAAATGGCTCTTGGGCCTACGAGTCTTATCATTGCTTTCAAATGCATGACGACATTGGAAGAGTTATAGGCATTCACATGGGTACAGCCCAATGGATTCTTCTCATCTGCTGTACAGATAAGGCCAATACACTGAGACAGTGATGTTGCAGTAGAGAAACAGTTTAGTTATTGCAGGGCATCCAAGCAGGAAGACAGGACATGTTTCTGAAATCTGCCTCTCTGAGAACTTGGAGGCTTGGGTTGTTAAGGATAATTTGGCAGGCAGGGGGCTAGGGAAAGGGTGCTGCTGATTGGTTGGGAATGAAATCATAGGTGTGTCAGAACTGTCTTCATGTGCTGAGTTAGTTTCTGGGTGGGGGTTGCAGGACCGGTTGAGTCAGTTCCTTTGTATGAGTCACATACAAAGGGTGGCATCAGTTGGTTCACCAGAATGCAAAAGTCTGAAAAATATCTCAAAGACCAATCTTAGGTTTTACATTAGTAATGTTATCTATTAGGGGTAATTGAAGAAGTTATATATCTTGTGACCTCCAGGTACATGACTCCTGATCAGTAAGCAAACTAGGGAACAATAGCTGGTTATTGCTTAACTATTCATAGATCTTAGCAAATTCAAGACTCTACCATAATTCTAACCTTGTGGCCTTTTATTAGTTTTATGAAGGTAGTTTCAGTCCTGAACAAGGAGGGGGCATAATTTTGGGAAAGGCCTGTAATCATCCTTGCTTTAAAGTTAAACCGTAAAGTAAATTTCTCCCATAGTTGGCTTGGTTTACACCCAGGAATGAGCAAGGGCAGTTAGCTTGTGAGGTTAAAAGCAAGATAAAGTCAGTTATGTCACATTTATCTCGTTGTCGTAATTTTTGCAAATGCAGTTTCAGCATCACTATGTGAATGTGTGTGTGGTAAAAATGGGAAGTATAAATAATTTTCCTCCAAACCTAAATAAGTCTTGCAAGTTGTGACAGACCATTGTAAATTTACACAGATTTACAATGCTGTGCCTTTTCAGTCCAATGGTCTGACATCTGAGAAAGCTACAGTAATCATCAAAGTTGGGCATATAGGCACACATATTACGTTGAGCCCTGGCCTTTGGATCTACAATGCCATAGATGAATGCAACATACTCCTGACATATCAAGAGGTTCTATCATTTTTTCATAATTTTCCAAATTGGAAAAATTCTCCTTAATTATTTTATTTGTATTATAAACTTTTTTCCACTAGTTCCCCACTTACTGTTGACTACAGATGCTTTAGTAGTTTTAAACAATGAATGGGAGGAGACTGATTTTCCCATATGTTTTGTAAATTGGCCTTTCTTCTTCCCACTTCACTGAAGATAATCTGCCCTTGCAGATTATCTTTTATTGATTCAGGGAGCTATGGACTGGATAGTGATGGACTTTGTAATGAAAGCACAAGCTACTATTTTTGCAGCTGCTGAAGATAAGAATAAGCTAGAAAACATGAAAGTACAATGATCGGAGATGCTGCTGCATATTCCTGTGTAGTAAAAGATCTGCTTTGTTATCTGGACAGTCTCTTCCAGAAGAAGAGACTTCTTGAGTCAAAATAAGATAAGAAGTATGCAACACAAAGAAGTGAAATGACATTCTTACAGTTGAAATATTCATACTATGTTAGTTGGTAAAACTGCTTAGCTTCTACCTCATTGAGGCAACATTGGTGTGAGAAACACTGAAATATGACTGAGAGCCTACACTAGCAAGAAGATGGGGGGAAGATACCTTTAAAAAGATCACTTGGAGTTCAATAATTATGGATGCATAATAACATTTTGAGTACTCTTAATATAGTCAGCCTAGTTCTTTCTCAAAAAATAAATTCAAGGACATAACAGTTCAGTTGATACTATGGAATTTTGTTTGTTTGTTTGTTTGTTAGTTATTCAAAACCAGCAAAGGGATATGATGCTTATTTGGTAGAGAGGACATGCTCTTCAGCTCTTTCTGCCTTCTTGATCCAAGAAAGCATTCACAAATTTACCAGTTTATTTACTCAGGAAAATGTGGCTATAAATGAATTTACCCAGGAATAAACTAAATTCTATTATTTACTAAGTTCAAATAGTATACTTTTCATAAAGGGATGAAATCAGTTATTGAAAAGAAGCTAAATTAATTGTAAGCTAAACAACAGCAACTGAAATCACTGAAAGAAATTAAAACCTACTATCATGACTGTAAAGGATTTTAACCATTCTCACTTTTTATATTTCTAGCTATTAATACTGAAGGGAGGACAGAATATTAACACTTTGAAATTAACTCTCCGCCAGGCACGGTGGCTCACGCCTGTAATCCCAGCACTTTGGGAGGTCGAGGCGGGCAGATCACCTGAGGTCAGGAGTTCAAGACCAGCATGGCCAACATGGTGAAACCCTGTCTCTACTAAAAATACAAAAATTAGCTGGGTGTGGTGGCAGGCACCTGTAATCCCAGCTACTCTGGAGGCTGAGACAGGAGAATCGCTTGAACCCGGGAGGTGGAGGTTGCAGTGAGCCGAGATCACACCTTTGCACTCCAGCCTGGGGGACAAGAGCAAAACTTCTTCTCAAAAAATAAACAAATAAATAAATAAATAAACTCTTGACCTGAAAGATATATGCTCCGTTTTGACTAATATAAAATTGATTAGCAGAGTTAGTTGAAATCATTACAGCACCCAGGGGCAGCTGGATTGCTTTCATGACCAAAAAAAAAAAAAAAAAAAAAAAAAAAGGCCAAAAAGGACTTTCCAAATATTTTAAAACTTTATGACTAATTGGTCTCATTGTCTCTTTTCCACGTCTGAATTTTTTTCTTTCAAGAAAATAACTGTGGCCATCACCTTGGTTACACAGTGGAGAGAAGAGATACCCTTAGAGAATGCTTAGAACATCTCTGATCATGCAAATGTGTAAACTTGAATGCCAAGAGACTTTATAATCTTAAATCTGAGCAGAGGATGTGAGTCTTTGACCAGTTTCTTAAAATCTTTTTCTTCCATGTCATCAACTCTTAACTGGAAATGGTACCACACCTATGTGATTCATGGAACATCTTAATACTTGAAATACTCAATGGTATTCACAATGCTGTGCTATTTCTAGCTTCTGCAAGTCAGCTGGGGGTGGCAGAATAGTTACCCAATTACTTTAATGTGGCTAGAGTGAATTCTTTCACATAAGCAAATGTTCTGTGTAATCATAGTTTCTTTAGACTCTAAAACATTTATTTAAGTCATTTTTTAATGAAAATCTTTATAAATACTTTATACCTCCTTTAATTTAATAGTAAATATTTTATTTCCATTTCCGGTCAAAGGTAATTTTAGGAATAACATGACCATATTTTACTGTAACCCGTGATATCCTTGCAAACTAAAAAAAACATAAACCTATTTGTACTTATTCTAAATGATCCCAATGCTAGATCTTTCTGATCTTAAAGATTTGTTAATTATTTATTATTAGGCTATAGCAATTTAACAGGGCTAAGACTGATATTACTTCTTCCCCAGTTAACTATCATTTTGTACTATGAAACTACTCTGCATTATATAGCAAAGTTCAAAGATGGTTTGAATAATTTATTTATTTTTTTTAATCCTGAAAGCCTCTAGTAATTAAAGGGTGAAAAGTTGATGTTATTCAACAGGTGACTTCTGGATAAAAGAGGTTTACAGTAAACATTCGTGAATAGAAATTTAGTAATTGCCATGTCTTATATTTGAATAAAATATTAAATCACTCAACTTTAGAATCTGTGATAAGTTTGATTTTAAAAGCCAAAATTATGAAAATTCCTCTCCCCAACATTAACTGCTACATCAGTCTAGTGAAGTAAAAATAAAGTCACAGAGAAACAAGCCGCTAATTGCACAGAGAATGCCAAATATAACTGAATTGATAGGCACCTTTTTCTGTAAAACTACCAAGAGCATAATTTGTATAGTTGCCTAAAATAGTAACTATTCCCAAGGGTTAATTTTGTTAATGGCAGCATGGAAAAAGACAATAAAACCACGGGGCACCCAGTTGTGTGAAATTGATGTAATAATTAATTACACCCTTAGCCTAGTAATTAAGTAGTCAGTCACCTTGCCAGAGTAAGTTCAAAGGCATTTAGGTGGTTCATTTAAGTTTATGATTTCAAAATATTGAAGTAAAGCACTGTGGGCTGGAAAGGAACATAGATCAGTGAATTGAACAGCAGAGGGGAACCTTAGCCAAATAAAGCTCTAACCCTGGCACAGCCTCTGAATTTGCTAGATGACTTGAGCAAGTCACTTAACCTCCTTGTCCTTCAAGTCTCTGACAGCCAAGTACCCAATAACCTGTAAGAAATGTAGAAAGAAGGATTTAAATTAAATAGAACTAGACATATTAAGAAAGTAAATAAATAGAATTGCTAACTTAAGATGATACAAAAATTGTTGCTATATAACAATTTTAATTGCACAGCTTTTGATCATTGAATAAGTGCTTTTTAGGCACAATTCACTAAAAGATTTCAACATATGACACTCTGCAAACATCCCAGTGAAGACACATTTGCAGGTATAAATTCAGTTTATTTTGTGGTCCAAGTTTCATTGTAGTCAGCTAGACCTCTCAATAGGGCTTATCATCAAGTAGTTTCACTTCAATGAACTGATTAATCCAAAATCTAAACAACTGAAAAGCTCAAGCTCAAATACTAGAATTTCTTTGCACTCAACCCTCTTGAAAAGAAATATTAAATGTAAACATTGACTAGAAGTATCTGGTTTATCTTACTAAACTTTTAAGATTAAATCTGCTGCTATTCCGGCATCTGAAATACTGCAGCCTCATAAACTTTGGTCCTGATGCAGACTCTGAAGTATCCAAGGTGCCTTCTCAGCACCGCCACATCCAAACTGCTATCATACATGATAATTGTCTACATACTTGCATTTATCTAGTGATTTAAAATGTACACAGTATTTTATATATATTGTCTAACCATATACTGATATTTATTCATACATGCATGCATTTATGGACGTTGACTCAGTACTAGGTGTTCAGACTATAAACTGGTCAAGTTCTAGTTAGATATATGAACATCCCGTGATAATGCAGTAAGATCAAAGTAACGTAAAGTAGCTGGGTCTGAAGCACGCAGGAAGAGCAATACAGACAAAGTGACACTTGAGCAAGGTATTGAAAAAGATTTTCAGGCAGAAGAGGGAGAGCTTCTGGCAGAAGGAAAAATGGCAGGAAAAGTACAGTTATCAAAGAGCCAGGACTAGCTGAGGAAAGGTGAGCCCCTTGGTGTGGCTGGAGAATATATAAAAGCCCTAGAGGACAAAAAGTGTCAAGAGATAAAGCAGGAAAAGTAAGAAGATCTTTAAAACAGAGAACTTTGGGCTTCAGCTTCTAGACCATGAGAGGAGGGGGACTAGAAACCTTAAAGGGGTGGGGGACAATGGCAGCTCTGTTCTATAGAGTGATGATTCTGCAACAGTGAGGAGTGAGAGAGGCCGGTGTGGGAGACCTGGGAGCAGGAAGGGTCAGGAACTTCCGAGAGCCTGAATCAGAGTAGTGGCAGTGAGCCTAGAGAGGAAGAAATGGCTCTGAGAAAGAGTTGGAAGAATGTAGAATGGCTAAAGATCTATGAGGAATAAAAAGAAAGGAGATAGCAAGGCTTCCAGTTTGGGCAGCTGAGTAGATTATGATGCCACTATCCAAGATGAGAAATTCCAGAGAGGCATCAGACTTTGTGAGAAAAATACTGAGGTTCATTTTGGGCACCCTGGGTCTGAAATGCCAGGACAAATTCAGATGTTTAGAATGCAGTTAGAAATATGAGCATGGAGCCTAGAAAGATTTAAGGTCTCCGAGATAGAGAATTGGCAGTCTTCAGCATGCGGTCAGAGCCAGAGGAGTGAATGAGATTGCCAAGAGTAACCAAATGAAATAATTAAGAGGCTAAGGATGTATCCTGGGAAACATCATCAGAAGTGCTAAGGAAAAAGAATGATCCATGGAGGATTGGATATGGAAACAAAGAAAGAATTGAATCCAGAAGAAACCCCAGGTTTTGAGCTGGGAGACTGGCAAAATTGTGGTTTCATTAGCAAAAATGAGTAAGTCAGGAAAACAAAGGAGTTCGATGATCAGTTTTAGACAAGTCAAAAAGTGTTTTCTGTCATTGTCAATAAACGATAAGACATACTACTTTATACTTAAATTATTTCCATTTGTCAATTTTATATTTCTTAAAGGCTGTCTGGTTATCACCAAATAATGTACCATCATATATTTTAAAAAGGTCATTGGATTGGGAATCGAAACCAATTGAGTTTGTTCTGGACCTACTATTCATTCAAATACTTATTAAACATTTCCTATATGCCATGCACTGTGTTATCTGCTAGAGATGCAATGGTGCAGTACCACCCTTCTAGAGTAATAGAGAAAACTGATTAATCGGTTACATGCAAATAAATATGTAAATACAAGTGTACTAAGTGCTTTTAAAAATCAGGTGCCAGCTATGTATGAATTCATAACATCGCGGGGACCTGACCTAACATGAGGCTCAGGGAAGACTTTTTTTTTTTTTTCTTTTTTTTGAGACAAAGTCTCGCTCTGTCACCAGGCTGGAGTGCAATGGTGCAATCTCAGCTCACTGCAACCTCCACCTACCGGGTTCAAGTGATTCTCCTGCCTCAGTCTCCCGAGTAGCTGGGACTACATGTGCGTGCCACCACACCTAGCTAAGGTTTGTACTTTTAGCAGAGACGGGGTTTCACCATGTTGGCCAGGATGGTCTCTTGACCTCGTGATCCACCCGCCTCGGCCTCTCCAAGTGCTGAGATTACAGGCATGAGCCACCGCGCCTGGCCCAGGGAAGGCATTTTTGAAGAAATAATAGTTGAATTGAGATCTGATAAAAGAAGTAGGAGCAAAATGGGGGGGGTGCAGTTTTCCAAGAAGAGAAGACAGTACATATAAAGGGCTGGTAATAGGAGGCAGAATGTCCATTTTGAATTGGTAAAACAAAGGAGCAAGAGTGGATTGGAGAAGATAAAGTCAAAGAGTCTGAATGAGTCTAATGAGATGGGCAGAGTCCAGATTACGCAAGGTTTTGTAGTCTCTCTTCAGGTACCTATCCTGAGAGCAGTGAGAAGGTTTTAGAAGAGTTCAAATAGAAGGTTATCTGAAGAGATAGGCATTTAAAAAAAAGAAAGAGAGAGAGAGAGGTGGTTGCATTGTAGAGAACAGAATAGTGAAGAGCAAAATTGGTTGCAGAAACACTAAATCAGAGGGCTGTTACAGAGCCTGGACAAGAAATGATGGGTGCTTATACCCAGAGAGAGTGGGGGTGAAGAGGAAAAAAAGTCAAAAAGAAGAGGAAGGCAAATTCAACAGAACTTAATGGATTGGCTTGAGGTGCTGGATTTAGGGAGTCAAATATGATCCTCAGGTTTCTTTCTGGCTTATGCAACTGAGAGATGATCTTGCCATTCACCAAAATGGGGATCCATGGAAGAGCAAGCAGGCTTGTAGTGGTGGAAGTTCTTAAGCTCAGTTCAGTATATGTTGGGTTTGAGGTCCATTTGAGATACCCAAATGGAGGCTCAAAAATAGCCTTGACACATAGATCTGAAGGAAGAGTCTAGAAAGGAGGTTAACAATTTGGGAGTCATTGGAATATAGATGACTATTTAAAACACTGGTGTACACAGGACTTTAGGGATGCAGCATGAGATAAGGAGAGGGACTCAAATTGAGTCTTTAGAAGGAATTGAAGCATTTAATATCCAGGTAGAGAAGGATAACATGGCAAATGAGAATGAGAACATGTAGAAAAGCAAGAGAGTTAAGTAAAAGGAGAGTGTTCCAAGACAAGAAGGTGGGAAGGAGTGATCAGCAAACTCCATACCTTTGGGCAATGCGCATAATCCCTTTATTTATCTGTTAAACCAAGAAATAATCACTGCATTCCTGAGTATTGTTATAGTAACCAAATCTAATGTTTGAGGAAATGTTGAAATCTGTAAGTTGTTTTATTATGTAGTTACTCTCAGTTCTTGGGTTTTATTTTGTTTTCAAACACTGGGATCATTCACACCCTTATCTTACTCTTCCAGGCCTCTTAGAACAAGAGCCAAAAATATATGAATTTGAAAGGGAAAATGTTCCCAATTCTTTGTGCATAATTGCATGGAAAGTAATTCCACTCAGAACCTGGAACATCTCTCCCACTTGGTTTTCTCTTTTTCCTTTTCCTAAGAATCTAGAAATCGCCAGAAAGTACTTTGTGTCCTATGAGTATAGGCTTGAGCACTTCAGTTCTAGAAATAAACCTAGTAGGTAAACAGCTTCCTGCGATTAAATGGCTAGCTCTGGAGTGGAAGAAGCTTCTGGTATTCAGGGAACACCTTACTGGTACATTCTGCATTCATCGTGGTATAATTAGGGACACATCACAAGCTCTCCACTTTGACTTTTGGAGTGGTTATTTATTACTTGGTGTTCAGGAAGAGGGAAGGCCAGATGAGAATGGACCCCCTCCCCACACAACTTGTCTGTCCAAGCCACTGACACAGTAACTGTTCCTCAACCTCACTGCTGATTGAGAGTAGAGCTAGCTAACACCAAACCCTCGCTCTTCCTCTAGGTCAGATGCTGGGCTTGTGGCAACAGTTCCAACAACAAGCTGACTACTATATACAAATGATTCATTTCCAGCCTTCTGCTTTCCTTTAAAGAGTCAGCTGTCATGTGCCGCCTGTGACTCACTCAAGCTCCTTTGCCCCAGTGAAATAAGCACTCTAAAGATTCCTGAGTTCCAGGCCCCTCCTAAGCCAAACGAGTCACATTGTTTTTATGGTGATACAGCACAGAAGCATCCTGGCTAATTCCCATTTGTTGTCCTGCCAGCAAAAGCACCATCGTTTCTAAGCATAAGAAGTGAGAGAAGGCAATTTGTGTTGCTTTGTTTATGCAGGACAACCCTTAAGCCAGTTGTGGCATGCAAAATACTTAAGAGTGAATGCGTATTTCCACAGTGGTTCAGAAAGTAAAAGATGGCCATATACACCCGATGATTCTAATTCCATATTATGCTTGTGAGGCAGTGCAGAGACTTTCAGAAACTTTAGGAAGTGATCCTAAACTCTTCACACTCTATAAACTGAAGCCTACCCTAATGAAGCTCCACGAAGGACGTTGATCTTATGCTCATTTCAAATTGGCCATGTTTTCTAAACTGTAGTTTTTCCTATCAGCTGTATATCAGACCAAAAAAAAAAATCTGTTAGTTTGAAATGAGGATTTCATGTGAGAGAGAAGTTTTGGTGGCCACATTTTTATAATCTCATTTTCTGAGATCCTCCTCACCCGTATCCCTTATATTCCAGAATCGGGTCAGCTGTCATTAGCTTTTGCCAAATGTTCATACTGTTGAGGGCACAGACAGATGAATCACCTATTGCCTAACTGAATTAAGCTAAAATGTGTCACTGGCAGGATCCTTATTACAAAATCATGCCCTGATACCACTTCTGTCACTATGTTTTGCTGTTGAATGTATTATTGATATTCATCAATCAAATGAGCAAGGGCAAGAAATGTTTTGGACTTCTGTAGGAGCTGTGTTATATTACTTTATATAAATGAAAAGTAATTATGTAACTAAATATGAATTCTAACCCATATAGTGATTTTTTAATATTATAGACCTTGACATTGTTAGCAACCATATTATGGACTAACTTAATCACATTTTATAGGATAGTTTATTACTTGTATTTGTTATGATATAGTCTCATATAGTCTCGATGAAGTAAAATGTGGTTTATAGAAAATTTATTTTTAAATAATGTCATCACCTAGGTAACCTGAAGTTTCAGAGTGAAAGTAAGCATTTAAGCTTGTGGTTAAAATCTGCTTGATGAAGATCAGATTCATAAAAAATGCAAACTGGTTTCTTTAGTCAATAAAGAATAAAACCTGAGGTCAGCTTTCTTCGTGATCAATAGCCTCACTACCTCAGTAAGATAAGATGGGAAGTAACATTTTGTGATTCCCAGTCTATGTTCAGTGATTTTAAGGGAATATCGCAATATTCTTAAAATCCAGTAAAATTTGATTTCTAAAATATTTCATGCAGTAATTTTATAAATAAGAGAACAGTGTTCTGAAATCAAGAAAAGTTTATTAGTCTCAATTGATTAAATTCACAAACATTGAGCATCTATTCCATAAAAGACACTGAACAAAGCTTTTTAGGCTATACAAGAAAATAAAATGTTCTTTGCCCTCGGGAAGCTTTTAAGTTAACAAGGAAGACACATTACACAGTACAGAAAGTTTAATAACAATTTAAAACAAGTAATAATGTGTTTTAAACTAAAGAAGGTATCAAG